>NC_000009.12:104432673-104584188 GCF_000001405.40 Homo sapiens | reverse complement strand
AATTGTTTCCCCCAATTACACTTCATATTTTTCTTGAAATATTTGCACAGAACATTCTTTGTACATTTTCTAGAACCAGAAAATATATGTATTCTTTTCTATTTGTATAAAATGTTACTTTGTTTTATATTTTATTTCTAAGATTGGTGGTTAGATTGAACATTTTCTTTGTGTTTATTATATTCTCTCTCCTCTTCAATGTATGAACTATTAATTAGATTATATGATTAACACTTTGCTCTTCAAATTTTCTGCAAATATCTTTCAAACTGTGTCTTTTCTTCTTATTTTTAACATGCTTTTAAAAAAATTGAGGTAAGATTTTAATATGATATGAAAAAGCCTCAATGAAATATTCTTCTATGACTTATTTTTTCGTTCCATCCATATGATAACTATGTTGTTTTATGTCTCAGGCATAGACCAGATTTACATTGTAAAAATATTAACTGATTTTTCCAAAATGGATTATTAAAGCTATGTCTCACAGTTCCCCCCTTATTCATTCACAAAATATTTATTTAATACCTGCTATGGGCTAGACTCTGTGATCAGCCTTGATATAAACTTGGACATGGTAGAAAAAGATAGGGTCATAAATTTTAAAGATAAACATAAGTAACTTTATATTACAGGTTATAATATTTCTTCTACCTTTACTTTTAATTTGCATCCTTTTATACTCAACACTATATCACAAGTAATTTTTTACATATTATCAAATACTCAGGGAACACATGATTTATAAAGGCCACATAGTATTCTGTTCTATTTATATCTCAAGCTTTATTTGATCTATTTTCAATTAATGGGGATTTATCTTCCTTTCATTTCTTTACTATTATAAACAATTCTGTAATAATAATTATAACATTCTTTAAGGGGGTGTTTCTATTGTTTTGCATAACCTTAATCACCTCAATAATGAATTATGAAAGTAGAGGTAAAGATAATTACATACATACTGAAATACAATCATACCAGTGAAATAATCAAGTTCTACATAATTGGATCTTAGAGGTGGAAATTATCTTAAACCTAGTCCTAAACCTTATGAGATGACAGAAACACATCTACAGTATGGCTGGTGACTACCTTACTTCTGCCTGCAGACCTAGTGGTGATTAGAACACTTCCTGAGGCCACACAAGTTATTTTTGTACAATTCTAATTATTAGAAAGTTATTTACAGTCAACTATATATATTATATATCTATAGGTATAGATATATAGATATGTTGATATATAACTGTCTGTATGCAACTCTTTTTCCCTGTAGAACAACAACAAAAAAATACAGACTTTTCTCATGACAGCTATTTTTTCTTTTTTTTTTTGAGACAGAGTCTCGCTCTGTCACCCAGGCTGGAGTGCAGTGCTGTGATCTCAGCTCACTGCGACCTCCGCCTCCCGGGTTCAAGCAATTCTCCTGCCTCAGCCTCCCAAGTAGCTGGGATTACAGGCGCTCACCACCGTGCCCAGCTAATTTTTTTTTGTATTTTTAGTAAAGACGGGGTTTCACCATGTTGGCCAGGCTGGTTTTGAGCTCCTGACCTCGTGATCCTCTCACCTTGGCCTTCCAAAGTGCTAGGATTACAGGAGTGAGGACAGTTTTTTTTTGTTTTTTTTTTTTTTTTTTTTAAGTATTTACAGATAGCTGTTCCTGTCCTGGTCTGGTCTATTGTTCTATGTTCCTTCAGCCATTCTCCATGTGTTTTTAAAAAAATAATTAAGTACTTGTATTGCTGAAGAGACTATTTAGGAATGTGAGGTTCTCTATGATAAATAAGGACCCCTCCTATGCATACTGCTTGTGGTTACTGGTTTTACAGGACTCTATGGAGCAAAGCACTCTCTGTCATGTAAGAGTTAAGAATGAACTCTTTAAGAGCACAGATTCTGGAATTAGCCCCACTTTGTCAAACACTGCTTCTATGATCTTAGGAAGGTTACTGCACCTCTATAAGCTTCAATTTCCTCATATGTGAAATTAGAAACTTAAAAATGCCTACCTGATGTTGTTATCCTGAGAATTAATGAGGTTATGCATATGAAGAATTTAACATCGTTATGGAGGCATAGTAGATACTCAGTAAGAGTGCTTGCCACTCTTCTAATTATATTGATTAGAAAAGTATTGATGACTGTAAATATGCACCTTGCTTTTACAGAAGGAGAATGACTTTGGAGTTGGAAATACATGGATTAGGACCTCAGTTTCCTGATTTGTAGCTTGATGACCTCTAATAAGCTATAAAATTAGTGTTATAATAATCTTGCAGGACTGTTATGTGGTAAAGTTTAAAGGGTGATTATCTTGATTCTTGGCATTTAATAGGAATTCCTTAAAAAACGGTTAACATTGTTACATTTGATTATAAATCAGTGAATCTGAGTATAGTTTGCTTAATATTGATGCCAAAAATAATCACTTTCAATTGATTTTGGTAAATAAAACAGACATGAAATCATTTTGTTTCAGTATGAAGTTATATAAATCAGTGGAAAGAATATCAAAATGAATCACTGTTTCCAAAGAATGAAATCTATTCCTGATGAGTTGAGAAAAATATGTATTGCTTCTAATAGACAAAATTATAAACTTATTGAATTTGATTAAACAAAGTATTAGCAAGTTGTCTAAGATAATTTCATCTAAATTAGAAGAGGCTCTTTTTTTTTGGTAAGTGTATTCACGTCAATGTAGTTCAGCAAGCACGTTAGTAGGCACAAAGATGAGTAGGACACAACTCTGACGAGTCCTGAGTTCCTGCTTATTATGGCATTACTGTCAAACTCATAGAAGCAGAGGTAGAATGGTGGTTGCCAGGGGTTGGGAGTGGGGAAAATGGGGAGGTATTGGTCAGATGGTACAAACTTCCAGTTATTAGGTGAACAAGATCCAGCCTGGGCAACATGGTGAAATCCCGTCTCTACAAAAAATTAGCTGGGCAAGGGGGTGCATGACTGTAGTCCCAGCTATGGGGATGCTGTGGTGGGAGGATCACTTGAGCCCAGGAGATTGAGGTTGCAGTGACCCGTGGCTGGGTGACAGAGTGAGCTCCTGTCTCGGAAAAAAAAAAAAAAAAAGATGAACAAGATAACTAAAGTACAGCATAGGTGGTGATGGATGTGTTAATTAATTTGATTTTGATAATCATTACACAATGTATACATATATACCTTGAATATATTCAATCTTGACAATTGTAAATAAGATAAAATGGCATTTTGCATCAGCTTCCTAACTGGTCTCTCAACTTCCACTATTCCCTTCCTTCAGTGTATTTTCCAGGTAGTTGCATGGCAGATATTCTCAAAATGTGATACATTTCAAACCACTACTCTGCTTATCAGCATGTCATACCAGCTGAGATTTGTTAAATGATTGATTGTTGCCTATGTCTTACTTCTTAATTAAAAAATAAATCCCTGTCAGGGCCTAGTTTCGCAATCATAGCAAACTGGGAAATGGTCACAACTTGGTGTCTTGTGAGAATACTCTTCTGGACAGTGAAATTTGTCTCAAAATGAGAGAAAATGCTACAATCTGACTACATGTTCTTCTTTTTCACATGCAGCACAGGTTCCTATAAAATAAACCAGAAAATGTTTGAGAGAAGCATGGCTCATACTTCCAAAGCTCAGGACTGTCATTCCAGCAACATTCACTAGTATGTCCTAGAGCCTCAGCTCCCTAAAAGACCTGAGCTCTTTCAAACCAACCCAATAGCCAGGGCTGAACTAGAGCATCATGCTTCTCCTGGAGCTCTGCGTGAAGTGGGGGTGGGTGAAGAGCATAGTATGGCAGAAACACTGGAGATGGAAGGTCAGCATGGTCCAATTCCCTTCTCACTGCAGATGCCTGTGTCAAATGCTACCAGATGTCAAAGGGACAGATACAGATACATTTTTAGTTGCGATTGGTGCTAAATAATGTTAATAATGGTATAATTATTTGAGACATTCAAATTTAAGTTCTCAAATTTCATCACAAATTTGAGCAATCATGACAAAAAGTTAAGCAGCATGATCAACCCTTGAACACTTGCTCACATTTGTGTTATATTCAATATAATATACTCTCAATGAAGCATCTCATAGATACTTATGATACAACCTCTGCTAGAAAGCTTGGGTATCCTCACTTAATAGAATATCACCTATATAGATTCAGATGAATAAACAGTTTGTTGTTTGGGGGTGGTCATAGTTTCCACAGTGATTCTGAATCAGCATGATGGATAGTCAGATTACAAAGGCATGCTGATTAGTATGATCATTTACTTACCATTCTTTGTTTATTTGCCAGTCATCTTACTGGCCCTGTGCTCTTACTTTGTGCCATCTTTAAGTGTCTTTGTAGATTACGTAAATCAGAGTTGGGAAAAAAAGTCTTAATGAATCCTATCCTTGGTGCTGCAGGATTGTCCTTTATATTGTTCCATCCCATGGCTGTCCTGGATATGTGAACAGTGCAGGAGAAAAAACTCTCCATTCCAAAAGTTGGATCCATTCTATTTCCTTACAACTCTAATTCTTTTTTTTTTTAAATCATAACATTAATTATGTAGGCCCTGAATTAATTTCCCAGGATGAAATTGAAATACCTGAATAATTTAATGTATTCTGGGGTCACAAACTCAAATATCTTCACTGCTATGCAATTGATGTATTTGAATGAAACAGACTGGATGTGAAGCAATATAGAAGGGTGAGGACTGTGGCAAATCTCATTAATTCCATGTGACCAAACAAAATACATGTGTTATCATATTCCCTTTCTCACTAGTTTGTGACTCTATGTCTCTATTGGAATAAGTCTTCTTTAGCCTGTCTAATTACATTTTCTAAATGACTTGGTGATGGCAGTTCATAGAGGACCGCTCTCTTTACCAAGAATAAAGTGATTATCCATTTTAAATTTTCCACATGATGATCTCATACGCTCCTTTTTTATTGTTTAGTTACAACTAAAGAGGAGAAATCAATCTCCTAGGAACAGCCCTAGATTCCCTTCAGAAAACTTGTGGAGGGAAGAGTGTTGTTAAAAAGTTACAAGTTCACTTTAACAAGCTTGACTTTAGACTGTTAGCAGGCACGTGGGATATCATCCCTATGTAACCTATTTGTACCAGAGAGAAGTAGGTCAGTCAGCTTTTAATGATGTCCTTTGAGATGTAGTTGCCTGCTCAGGTGTAAATATTAGACTGTGTTTTATATTCCTGTGGGAGAAAATTACCAGGCTAGAGATAACAAATAGAAAAGAAATGGTCTTCCTGAGTTGGTTGGCCTGTCTGGAAGCACTCTGTTTTACACGGTTAAAGGTCATATAGAGCTGTACATTGTCATTATCTATTTGCTACAGAGGTGGATAGAGAGGTCTTGGCAGGTCTTTTAGCAATCAGAAAAAAATGGAGCGCTACGGTGCGGTAATAAGAAGTGTATGAATTTTGGAATCTCTTTAGTTGCACTCCACCCTCCACAGTGTGGCTTCCTAGCTGTATGACCTAGGGCAATTCATATAACTTTTTTGGACTACCTGTTCTTTATTGTGTAAATTATGTATATCTTCAGGTTTTTATGAGGATTAAATGTATTTGTGACATAAATGATGTCTAATGTGTTCCCTTACCTGAGCTACAGAAAACATAAGTCACTGAAGTGGTTGTTTCATTTTTAATTAATTTGCAACGAGGAAAAGTCGCCTTCTTCGTTTTCCCATTTCTCTAGAAACCTTATGGATGTTGGTCCAGAGACAGTCAAAATAATTTCCTCTCTAGGCTCAGCAAAATAATTGCTCTATCGTCTTTGTTTAGAGTCCTACTGATCTTGACAACTTTGGACTTTTCACTGGTGTAGAGTTTCCTCTCCAATATGCCCAAGAGGAACCATTTCTGAACTCATTGGGTCAGAGTCTTTCTTTCTACACGGGTATCTCTGATATTTTTGATGTTAGTATCTCTAATATCCATTCTTAGAGTTAGGTTAGTCCCTTTGGCTTTGGAGGCTCTTCATTTTGTGATCTCTGAGACTACATAGCCATGCCTCTTTTTCCACCCCTTGGACAGCCTGCTTGCCTCTCTTTTAGTGCTTGTATTTCTTTCTTCTTTAGAAGGTGGGGTGAAGTTAGTAACGGTTGCTCTACTTTTCTCATATTCTGCATTACCTATAATATTTGCATCAAGAATTACACCATCTATAGCATCAAATGGAATGTCCATCATTAGTGTTTTAATTTGCATCTCCATATACCGGCTGGATTCCATCAACCTGGTGATTCGCTATCACCTCAAGTAAACCTGCTTATAATTAACCTCCCCTATTTCTCCACCTCCTTGATTTGTTGAACTAAGCATCCTTTCTCTACAGTGAGAGAAATGCTGTAAATGTGGATGAGTGAGCTGGTACATTTAACCTTCACAGTACATCAGAAAACTGAGGTTCAAAGACATTAAATCACTTGCATAGGCAAGCAAGATAGATGTGGAGGTGAGATTCCAATCTAAGCAGTTTGACAACATATTTAGTCTCCTTACCACTAAGTTTTTCTGTCTCTCTTAATTAACAAAAATTTCTTGCACCCTCTCATCTTCCCTAAAGTACATCGCGCTGAAAACCCATGACCCCAGGTTTATTCAGCAGTTTTTCTGGTTAAAGCCCTTGGTCCTAGCGCTTACTGTCCTTTACCTGTGAGTACAGGGATATCCATAAATTTCTCAAGAGGATGATGCAATACTGGGATCAAGAAAAGGTCAAACTATTATCCACTCTACATCACGGCCACAATCATCACAGGACTTGGTCATCATAGTCCCCCGAATTAATCTAAGTATCCAGTTTAACAGCTTTAGAGAAATACCAAGGTAAAATCCAGTAACTTAACTCTCTTTATTAACTCTCTTGCCTTCTAATACCTTTGGATTATTTTTCATGACTCAGAAGCAACTGGACTTTCAGATGTTTCCCTCCTGACTAGCAGGCATCTAGAGAAAAGAAACATAGCTTTTCCACTTAGAACCTCTAGGAATCTTAGTCTCTTCAGCTGTAAATTAAGAACAAGAAAATATAATTTTCACTATTACTATGAAGATTTAATTAGAAATAGTATAATATGAATAAATAGCAAAATGCTTAGCATATCCTCTCTGAATTCAAATTACTTAGATTGTTCCTTCTCATTGTCTTTCTTTCCTTTTGTTTCCTTCCTTTTTTCTTCCTTATGAAGTCAAGTTTTCTACAAGAATTTAAGTATAAACATTTTCCAGAAAAAGTTACTTTTTCTGAACCTGGTAAAGGTTAATATGCATTATTCAAGTACACTTTATTTCTTAGCAGGATTAATAGTGAATGTATTTAACAAAGACTATGGCATAGCTGCCACCCGATCAGAATGGACACCAACTATAAACAAGTAATACAGCTGTACTACTGGCTGCAGTCTTAAGCATGGTTTTATGAGATTTTAATTTGGGGGTTGTAATTTTAATTTTTTTGTTTGTAATTTTTTTCTCTTACCTATGAGCAAGGGCTGACACTGCTGGCACACACTAATTACTATGGCCACACTGGTTGTTTATGGCAAATATTTATTCTAATTTACTAGAACACTTGCCACAGAAGTTAAATATTTTGAACATCGCTGCTACTCAATCACTTAGAAGTGCGTTTTAATTGTCTCAGGTTATGGAACTTTTAAATTAATTAATTACCTTTAATTTAATCATATATAGGAAAGAGAATATGACTGTTTAATATTGCTTCCTTAAAATTTACTGATTCTTGCTTTCAGCCTAACATAATATCAATTTTTGCAAATGTCTCAAATGTGTTTTAGAAGAATCTATATTCCATAATAGTTGGGCTGATAAGCTCGTTAATGTTTTTGTTCAAATCTGTTGATCCTTATATTTGTCTGTTTATTCTTTCAGTGCTTAAGATGATATGTAGTTATATTGAGTTTTCTTTTATATATTGAGGCTGTTTTATTAGGAGAATAAAGCTTACAATTCATGTTTTACTGATTAAATAAACATTTATCATAATGCAACTTCCTCTTTTACTTCTAGTAATGCTTTTTGATCTTAAATCAATTTTGTCACATATTAATATAGAAACATCAGCTTTTGATTGTTACTTGCCTAGTATACTTTTTCCTTCTTTTTACTTCAACCCCTATGTTGTTGTATGTAGTAGAAAACATACATATTAAAATAAAATGAAAGTTATGTATTCCCTTAAAATAAAATATTATATGTCTATTATAATAATACTACTTTAAAAATTATGAGTTTAGTTCATTTACAATGACTGGTTATTGTGAGTGTGGACTCTCACTAATGGCGGTTTACTTCTGTTGTGTTGAGTGATTTGTGAGTGTAAATTCAATTTTTCTTTGGGTATCCTGCAGAATTAAACTGAAGATTATTTCCTCCAGAGAGCATTTGATCTGCTTTTGCTGGGAATAAGCAAGTGGTACTAACGTGAAACCATTAAGTGCTGCTGCTAGCTTATATGTTACATGTGTGAGCACTGGAAAATGTGACTCATCTTAGGACATTTGATCTCCAGCTTTTAAGAAATTATGCTGTTGATAGTGTTAAAACAAAATACTTTACTTCTATCTCCCTGAAAATTGCTATGATAAATTTTCAAGTCTATGCTTTCTAGGTTGTGAATAGCTTATTACTGAATGTTGTGAAATTGTGTAAGTACATCTTGTAAAATCATCCACAGTGACCCTGAAAAGCCCCTTTGGCCCTAGTAGAGGGTTCAGGTCTAATGGAGGAGTCCCAGATTCAAATCTCCAAATTTTTATTTAAAAATCCATCTGCAGAGCTGATACTGGCATTTTCCAACAATCTAATCTTATTACTGCCTTTTTTGCAGGTCATCTCACTTTGTTTCATCTCATAGCTTTTTCCTTTATTTGTGTGTTTGGGTTTGTGTGTCAGGAATGGCTGTAGGATGGTTAGGATGTAATAACAAATCCTTTCAACCTCTGTGGCTTTTTGCAATAATGGTTTACTTATTGATTCTGCTACGTGTATAATGTGTCATGAGTGGCAGGAAGGTTCTGACAGTCACTCAGGGACATAGACTAATGGAGGCTCCATTTTGAAATGTACTTTTCCACCTGGCAAGGGGAAGACGGAGTGGAAGGATCTCTCACTGGCAAATAAATATTTCTATCTGGGAACAATAAATACCACTTCCATTAGAACCTCACTGGTCACAGCAAAGAAAATTTGGGTCCAGTTTCAAGGGGAATAGCAATTTTTCTGTATTCCTAAAAGGAGAACCAGAATGTGCAGCGAACAGCACTAATGACTACCACAGGGCATGAAATAAGAGGTTCCTTAGGGAAAATATCCACTTTTTGTAATGCCAAATTTATATCAATGTCAGTTTTATTTGATATCCAATTGTATTACAGTTAGAGGGATCCTAAAATATTTATTGTTTCATAGCAACAGATGCAGTAAGCAAAGACTGTGCCTTAAGCATGGAGATTGAATGTAGTTCAGATTTCATTTTGGTAGTATTAGTTAGAAAGACCTATTTAATTTACTATCCTATATGAACAGCAGAAATGAAGAACGATTTTTTAAATTTTCTTTCATGAGTGTGAGTTCTTATTCTTTTGAACATTCTGCTTTATTTCATTTGGGATGGAGACGAAGGAGAATTCTAGTCAGGCACTTGGAGAAAATCAAAAGGATTAAATATATCAGTAAAGTGCTAGAGTTCCCCTTTTAAATCTGTTGTTTGGCTTCAGTCATCTTTTGATCTATCTTTATGAGATCTTCTGTAACTAGCTAAAAATTTTAGACTTTTTAAGGAAACTGTGGCCATGTGTATTAGTTTGTTTTCACACTGCTATAAAGAACTACCTGAGACTTGGTAATTTATGAAGGAAATAGGTTTAATTGACTCACAGTTCCACAGGCTTAACAGGAAGCATGGTTGGAAGGCCTCAGGAAACTTACAATCATGGCAGAAGGCAAAGGGGAAGCAAGGTGCATCTTCTCATGGTGGAGAGAAAGAGAGCACAATGGGGGAAGTGCCACACACTTTAAAACCATCAGATCTCATGAGAACTCACTCACTATCACAAGAACAGCAAGGGGGAAATTTGCCCCCATGATCCAATCACCTCCCACTAGGCACTTCCTCCAATTTGACATGAGATTTGGGCGGGGACACAAGTCCAAACCATATCACCATGTAACCAGTCATAAAATTAATGGTGTGTGGGAAATATGGGCAAGGACAATGGACAATGTCATATTCAGGCTTGGTTAGGGAATTCTTTTTTTCTGTAGGGCTGGCTTAAACACTTAAAAGTGATTATGACATAGATATACTTTTATATTTGGTATTTCATTTAGCATTATATCATTTTGTGTCAGATGCTCTAACAGCAGAGAGCAATATAATAGGTACTCTAAACTCCTATGTACTAAAGTGAATTTATGGACTACCTGTTTAGAACATGCTAAAAAACTGTGAAACCACTTCTTTGTACACATTAGTTTGTCACACACTCCCAGGATCTGTGAGAGAAAGTGAAGAATGTAGTAGAGTTTGAACCTCAGTTGTGTGAATTTTGTAGGGGCAAAGATGATTATGATGTACATTCTACCATCACCATAATCTCTTCCTTCTCTACCCCCAACCCCACAACCACCTACAAGGGAAGGTGATCTTTCAAGAGAGCTATTTATAAAGCATCTTAAAATTCAAGGGACTGGCATTTCTTACTGGGGAATATTGTCTTGGGCTGAAGCTGCCCACGCTTAGCAGCAGAGCATGGAGAAATAACAATGTAGGGAAAGGAACTGTGTTTTCAGAGTTTAGTGGAACAAAAAAGTCTGTGCATTTCCCAAGGGCCAGATGTTGACAGTATTGTAAGCAGTTGAGTGGAATAGTTCTGTAAAGAAATTCCTTTAAAACAAGTGAACAAATGTCCTTTCTTCTCCCTCCAAAATAAACCAAAAAGAACATGCAGGTTTACAAGAAAATTTTAGGCAGCCTAACCACATAAGCTAACATAGCATTTTAATTCACTTACTTATTTTTTAAAGTGTATTTTTGAATTACCTTCTGTGTATGTGTGTGCATTGAATTGCTGTTTGGTATTACTTTTTTTTTATCCTGAAGAACTTCCTTTAGTATCTTCATAAGGTAAGTCTGCCTGCAAAGAATCATCTCAATTTGTTTATCAGGTAACACGTTTATTTCACCTTTATTTTTGAAATATGGTTTTGCTGAACATGGGCTTCTTGGTTGACATTTATTTTTATTTTTGTTTTTTATTTCTTCTTCCAGGACTTTGAATATGTTATCCAATTGCCATATAGCCTCAATTGTTTCTGATGGGAAGTTTGCTGTTAATCTTATAGTGGCTCCCTTACACATGATGAACCAGTTTTCTCTTGATGTTTATGAGGTGTTTTTTTTTTCTTCTTTATCTTACAATATTTTGACTATGGTGTATCTGAGTGTAGATCTCTTTTTAGTTTACCTTACTTAAAATTCATTGATCTTCTTGGATGTATAGACTAGTGTTTCATCAAATTTGTGATGTTTTTAGCAATTACTTAAATAAGTATTTTTTTCTGCCTTCTTCTTTCTGTTATTTCCATTATGTGTGTCTTGGTACTCTTAGTATTGTCTCACATTTCCCTGAGGCTCTGATTATTATATAATGATTATATAATTATTATAATTATTCCATTTGAGAGTGTACTAAAGAGACTTTTAATAGTCTACAGTTTAAAAACAAGAAAGCAACTGCAGAAGAAAAAGAAAATGTCTTGCTTGACCCAGTCTATTGCTTATTATCCATCTGATTTGCTACATTTCTCAAGCAGATAGTCGCATATTTCATTGCTTTTAAAGATACCTCAAGAGAGACTAAAAACTTGATAGGCCTTATAATTTACCAGAAATAAGAGCCAAGTGACAGACTTAAAACTCTGAGGATATGGTGCTGGTAGATTATTAATTCTGGATTATGGAGAAAAATAGATGGAACTAAAACCAATATTGGAAGCAGCTAATTGTCATAGTGAAGAACTAAAGCTGGGGTGATGCTGACAGGAATGGGAAGCAAATAGGGAGGGGCAAATCCCTTACTTTCATCGAAGCTTTCATTTACCCTCTAGCACTTCTTCTGGTAGAGTCTAACAGAAGCTAGTTAACAAAAGAGAAATGAAATGTGATTTTTAGTGTGCCAACCCTAACTAACAAGGCAGAACATAGAAAAGTAGATTCGAAGCTAAGAGAGTTAATAGCATTAGTTATGCCCTAAAAAAAAGGATAAAAATTGCATGCCAACTCAAAGCTTTAAGACTTATTAAAGTATACCCAACACTAAAAATAATAAAATAGTTGATGTGTATTGGGGATTTTGGATTTTCCAGGCACTATTAAGTGCTATGCATGAATTAACTTATTATGTTATGAAATTACAATAATTGCCTGTTAACACATGGGAAGGTATTGTGCTCTTACTCTCACAAGTTAGAAGTAGCTCTAGTCTTTTACTTTGGATTTCTGTTTTACATTTCAACTACCATAGACTCCTCAAAGATCTGTAGGTAAAGGGAATGCTTTCTTCTATTGACCATCACTGACTCAATTCCTTCAATGCAGGTGGGACTTCCTCACATGGGTGCTGCCCCACAGGGAGCATAAATAGAGATGATCTCACTTTTGAGCCATCTCTGTCTTATCCCTCAGTGCCCAAAACCCTGTGCTCCTTAGTACATTGGATAACTTGACTTAATTTCTTCTGCCACTTCTTATACTCATGTTGCAATTTTTGTCAGTCACTAGTTCTGTCTAGTTTTTCTACTACTTAGATTCTGTGTGATCTAATGTAGAGTAGAAAAAAAGTCCTTATTTCAGCCTGGTCTCTTCTCAAAGTCCAAGAGTAGCACTATGCTACCAGGCTATCTATGTTTTATTAAATTAAAACTTAGGACGCATTACCAGGGAACTCTTTCATTTATCTTAGTCTTATTATAAATCAAATTCAAGAAAAGTTATGGAAAATAAAAGGTGATGCCTTAGCTATTAAGGAGTGTATATGACTAAATGTCAATACAGTTTATTTAGAAGTATTTAATCTAATCAATTTCTGATGAATAACCTTTGCTACCTCAGATACCACAAACATACATTTCTCGTTTTATATGTGAGGTGGCTCACCTATTTGTTCAAAAATATTTATTGAGCACCCATTATGTGTCAGGCTCTATTACAGGATTTTTTGGATGTTGTAGGGTAATAAACAGACAAGATCCTACCCTCAGGGAGCTTATATGTGTAGTGGACAATGTACAGTAAATAAATGAACAATTAAAAATGAATATATAATACATCATGTGGTGATTAATATTTACTTTGCATACTAATAAATAATGAATTTAATATAGGTCATAAATTGCTTTTTCAAATGCCTTTTGCCTTTATTATTTTCCGAAGATTGGAGAGTGATTATTTTCTGCTCAGGCTTCCAAAGAGATTTTCAACATTTATCCATGATAGTATGTTTTAACACCAGGAGCATGTTTTATTTCTATAGTTATATATTTTTAAACAAAAATCTAACAGTAAAAGAGAAAATATTTCTGTTTTGAGACGAAGTCTCGCTCTGTCGCCCAGGCTGGAGTGCAGAGGTGAGATCTCGGCTTGCTGCAACCTCCTCCTTTCCCGTTCAAGCAATTCTCCTGCCTCAGCCTCCCAAGTAGCTGGGACTACATACCCACGTCACCACGCCTGTCTAATTTTTGTATTTTTAGTAGAGACAGGGTTTTGCCATATTGGCCAGGCTGGTCTCGAACTCCTGACCTCAGGTGACCCACCTTCCTTGGCCTCCCAAAGTGCTGGGATTATAGGCATGAGCCACTGTGCCTGGCCCAAAAATATTTCTACCATATGGTTTTGAATGCCACATGGCAAAATTTGTTTTCACATGGTAATTTTATCTTTCTGAATTTTATGTCTGCAGCAGCATTGAATATTAAGTCATGTAGTATAAATCAGTATTCATTTTCCATCAGAAAAGTTTTTCCTACACAGTATGTTTTTGACAGCAGCCTTTACATCCTTGTTTCGCAGACTATAGATGAGAGGATTAAGCATGGGAGTCATCACTCCATAGAAAAGGGAGATGAGGGCCTCAATGATGTCTTCATTACCTGAATCAACAGAGGCTTTAGACTCAGGCTTTGCGTACATGAAGAAGATGGTTCCATAGAATATAATCACCACTGTCAGGTGGGCTGAGCAGGTGGAGAAGGCCTTATGTTTTCCTTCAGTGGAAGGAATCCTCAGAATAGTGGCAACAATAAATATGTAAGAGATGGAAATTACTAACAATGGAATAACCAGAACAATCAGATTCGACCCTGTCATACTAATCACATTGATTGAAATATCAGCACAGGCCAGTTTCAAGATAGCCAGAATTTCACAGACAAAATGTTTAATGACATTATTAGCACAGAATGGTAACTGCATTGCAAAAGCTGTCTGCACTACTGAGTCCACAAGCCCAGTGACCCAGGACCCAGCTGCCATGGCCACATAGGCACCCTTGCTCATGATGACAGGGTATCTCAGTGGGTAGCAGATGGCCACATAGCGGTCCAGTGCCATCGTGCCTAAGATCATGCACTCCGTGGCCCCCATGGCAAAAGAAATAAACATTTGCACCATACACCCAGAGAAGGAAACCTTTTTCTTTACTGCCAGAAAGCTGGCAAGAATTAGTGGGACAGAGGAACTTGTGTAGCAAACGTCGAGGAAGGAAAGATTACAGAGGAAGAAATACATGGGGGTGTGCAGGTGAGAATCAAAGATGATAACTGAGATAAGGACTCCATTTCCAAGCAGGATCATCAGGTACATCCACAAAATTAGAACGAAGAAAACTGTCTGGAGCTTTGGGTGGGCAGAAAGCCCTACCAGGAAAAATTCTGTCGACGTGGAATCGTTGGTCCTTTCCATATTACATATACTGATCTCCAACAGAACTCTGTGAATGATAGAACAGGAATATGTTAATACAGTGTCTGTGAGAGCTACTTTTAAGAATCATATTCTGTATTATTGCAGTTCTGTTTTTGGATGCAACAATATAAGTTTGGGGACAATTTCTTCCTGTAAAACCCAGGCCACTAGAGTAGGAATCCTAACCTGTCTCAGAGTTAAGAGAGAACACATGATTATAGGACCTTTGGATCCCAATCCACTTTATTGCTGTTTCCACAAGTTCTGCCTCTTAACCCATTGGCTGCAAATCAGTGTTCTACAGCCTGGATTCAGCAGACAGGTGTGCTTTGTTTGGCAGTGATTGTCTGCACTGTGTTTAAATTTGAAATAGAGATCAACATTCTTTTTTTTTTTTTTCGACACGGAGTCTCGCTCTGCCGCCCAGTCTGGAGTGCAGTGGCGCCATCTCGGCTCACTGCAGGCTCCGCCTCCCGGGTTCACGCCATTCTCCTGCCTCAGCCTCCCGAGTAGCTGGGATTACAGGCGCCCGCCACCACTCCCAGCTAATTTTGTTTTTGTATATTTAGTAAAGACGGGGTTTCACTGTGTTAGCCAGGATGGTCTCGATCTCCTGACCTCGTGATTTGCCCTCCTCGGCCTCCCAAGGTGCTGGGATTACAGGCGTGAGCCACCGTGCCCGGCCTAGAGATCAACATTCTAATCAACAGATATGGTATAAAAATCTGTGCCTTCAGCTTGTCTTTGAATAAATTAGAATATTTGAAAACTTTAGACCTGTTTCTGTCATGGAGCTTAGTTATATTAATAACTGACCCATTGGATCCAACGCATGTCCCTCCATTCTACCAGACTACAATCCTCACTCTCTTGTCACTGGAGGTGAATATAAGTTATCAATTAACATGTTAGTCTCATGTTATTCTCAATTGTTGGTCTCAATTGTTTATATTACCTGGCAGGATCTTATATGGATTTGGAATCTTGACTTATGGCTGCACGGCCAACTTATCCATTAGGCACAGTACTCCGACCATATTGTGAAAAACCTAGGAAAATGTTTTGATTTCTTTTAAAATATGAAGAAAAACGTTAACTTTAAAGTTTTAATATATACTATATTTGTTTTTGTAACAATGCAGAAGTAAAATATGACTTTTAAATCTTTATGGAAATAAGGCCCCACAAAGGCCAAAAAAAAAAAAAAAAAAAAAGTGCCTAGGGCCCATCAAAATCATAATGTGGCCCTGTGTGGTTGAGCATCTTTTGAAAACTCAGTCTGGTCTACTGGGGTATAGTAGTGGTTATGTATCTGCATATGACCTCTTTGAGGAGAGTAACCTCGTTGAGAAAAGGAACATACCTTCATACTCCTCCAGTATGTTTTTTCAGTACAATGAGGAAGTATTCATTCAAAGAAATGATTTTTAAAAAATTGAATAAATTAAAATTTACAAAGCCAATTTTATCACTGGCTTTGATTAAAATATGTAATGGTGTTTATTGTAGCCTCTACCTAATTTATTTTCAAGCATGCAACAACTAAAGAATCAATTGTGATAATAGTGCTTTTATTCAAAATATATACATTGAACTGAACCAATGATGTCTAACCATTCATTATTGAAAAATAAAATTTATACAGAAGTGTAATATATAAAACAAATAAAAAGGAAAATTTCTCCAGTTGAAGTTACACTGGTGTACAGGGGAGAATAAAACACCATTCTTTACTTGTTTATTCACTCTTACTCCCTCAGTTAAGTTTAAGAGGATTCCAGGGAGCATAGTTTTAAAATCGTCAATGCAATACATAAAATCCTTTAATCAACAACAAGAATAATAAGATAGTAATTTATGTATTGATTATGCCAGATACATTTCTAATTTTTTTAATTCATAATAACCCAAGGTAATGGGACTATTATTGTAGGAGATAAGAATTATCCTTTCTTAAACATTTGGTAAACATCAGTAAATTATGGTATGAATAGACTTAAGGAAAAAAGTAGTAATTATTTCAAAAGATGCAGAAAACACATTTAGTAAAGTTCAATTTGTAATTTTTATAGAAACTATCTGAAATCCTCAAGCAGAAGGTGACTTTCTGAACTTCAAAGAAAACCATATACCAAAAAAAGATATTAAGTTATTATTCACTAATACTTGATGGAGACAGTTTATACATTCTTAAAGTTTTTTTGTTTTGTTTTGTTTTGTTTTTTGAGACAAAGTCTTGCACTGTCGCCCGGGCTGGAGTGCAGTGGCACGATCTCAGCTCACTGCAACCTCCGCCTCCTGAGTTCAAATGATTCTCCTGCCTCATCCTCCTGAGTAGCTGGGATTACAGGCATGCACCACCATGCCCGGCTAATTTTTGTATTTTTAGTAGAGACAGGATTTCACCATGTTGGTCAGGCTGGTCTTGAACTCCTGACCTCAGGTAATCCACCTACCTCGGCCTCCCAAAGTGCTGGGATTACAGGTGTGAGCCTCCGCACCCGGCCATTTTATACATTTTATTAAGATCTGGAATTTGATAAGGATGCCCACTCTTATAGTTACTCTTTAATGTAAAATTGATAGCCTTGGTTAAAATCATAAGACAAGAAAATGGCTGAAGTACAGATTAAAGACAAAAATTTGTAAGGCAAGATGAGAAAAATTAGTAAGACTTCTGGAAGCAAGCTTAACAGAAAAATCAATAGCTTTCTCTATATGAACAACAAACAATAAAGTAATAGAAACAAATATAACAAAAAATAAGGATCTACATTTATCTCAACAAGGGATACGTAAGACCTTTATAGAAATTCTTTAAAAATTATATTATAATGAAGGGCATAGTAGAATATGAGTAATTGAAAAGGTATGACATGTTAATAGGTAGGATAAAAATATAAGAATGCTGTCATTTCCCTCTCAAATTAGTCTATACATTCAATTGAATCCATTAAAGATTTAGCTGGTTTTTTTTTAGGGATTTGAGTACTTATCCTAAATTCATATGAAAGAATAAAAGTATATAACTTGCACAGTCAGTTTTATAAAAGAAAAATATGAGGGAGCATTCTGTCCCAGACAGAAAAAGAAATGTGGTTTTAATAGAAGGGACTATCATAGATGTAAAAAAAAAAAAAAGAAAAAAGAAAAAAAGAAATCGACTTCTGATGTCATAAAAACAACATAATGTGGATTAAGTGAATAAAAAATTGAGGTACTTACAAAATTTTTAAAAAGCGTAGTTAGACCAAACATTTTTAAAAATAAAGTTTTTCATCTAGGTAAAAGAAAAAAGTCAGTTGTAGAGTAGATGGTCAGCAATGGAGGAGAATAAAGGGAATTTTCCAAGGTCTGGGAAGGCAGGGTTCACCCAAGGAATTTAAGTCTTGTCATCCCACTGGAACGGTTATCCTTAGAGTGGAGGAAAACGAATCTGGCATTTGTATTAGCCCAATGCCATGAAATATGCCATTCACATAAGTAATCCTCTTGATCTGACTGTGTGTTCCCTTCCAATGACAAGCCCGCATTCAGGTAACTTGGATATAAAGAAAGAATGAGCAGAGAAATTTGGTGGTTGCTCCCCATAGGCCTCTGTTTCTCATTGTAAAGCTTGGCACTCTACTTCCTAGTCATATCTGTGAGCTCGTGTGAATCTACACCTGTGAATGAGATCCAGTCTCTTCTTACTTACAAATCAATTTTAAGTCTGTGGTACTAAGGGACAGAATGTGGACCTTGGTAAAATCACCAAGCATTGCCATAGGTGTGTTGGTAGGCAATCAGTCACCATTCCCGGGGAAGCCTCTGAATCACTACACATTTTATTCAAACACCCAGATTAAGTACAGATGCATTTCAAAGAAGGAGAAATCATCTGAGAGGGGTAGCACAAGATTTCATCATATTCATTGAATTTGGTCCTGATGAGCTGAGGGGGAAATGCCTCAGGTAATAGACTGAGGCTAAAAGGCATCAGTGGGAATTCTACAGAAGAAAACAATTACAGGAGGATAGTAGGAAAAGGAAAAAAAAAAGAGGAGAACTGGTTTGCCAATTTGTGATGAATATTAAATGTAAAGTTAAGGAATTATAATTTATTATCTAGGCAATTGGGAGCCACTGGAGTTTTGATCAGGGAATGTTAAAGCTGAAAACACACACAAACACTCAAGATTGTTATGGGAATATTCTTCAGGGTCTTGTACTTTTCTCCCCAATATTTGACTGTGACCTGTGCTTTGTAGTTTTGTAAGTGTTTTTCAGGGCAATTGTTGGCATCTTCTTTGGCTTGTAGAGAACCTGACTCAAAATTCATCTTCCTTGGAAATGGACACATAGTAGTTCTTTTTAGGTTAAATTGATAATAAAACATTTTATTTTAATAATTTATTTTATTTTCTAAAAAGAGACAATCCTGTCTCCTCTGAGTTCTTAGCCAAGTTTTAGAATAATCAGTGGAAACTAAAGTGTTTGTAGTTTCAGTTTGAAGGAAAGGCCAAAGTTTTGTTGGGTCCTTCAAAGCTGGGTCTTAACTGATTGCTTTAGCTATTAAGCTAATGAAACTCGTCAGGCTAACTGCCCCATTCTGCCTTGGTTTTTCAGTTTCTTTCACTTCTGACTGTGAAAGTGACTTCATTGAAACCCAGAGAAAAAGAAAAACATCCCAGTTGATAAGTTAAAGGACTCATGCCCTGGAGGTTATAGGAAGCAAACCCTTCTGCCATTCATGTCCCCAACCCCCTTTTTTTAAGAAAGCTTTTGTCTCTTCTGTCTCCCTCACAGTTTTTCTTCTAGAAGTAGTAAGCACATTAAGGAATTGCTCATTATGTGAAAAAGTACACATTCCTTTTGTCTTTAGTTTTCATATAGAGGCCCTAGGGTGTATTGAACATTATTAGCAATAGTAGTCAAATGCACGTGAGCTGTAAAAAATCTTGGCTGCACCTCTTATGAGCTTTGTAGCATCATGCTGCATTTCTAGCTTCTCTCAGCTCAGTACCATAAACTTAGCATATATGATAACAGTTAAACTCAGAGCAAGCTAACCAGCCTCTGTTAGCCCCACTACACAAGTTTATGGTAGAGAGTAGGAACTTAAAACACATTAGCTTCTTTTTTGGGTCATAATTAGTTACAATTAAAAGTGTATGTGAATGAAAGCTACATTCTTAGGCAAAGAATAAACAGGCACTGGTCACTGGTAATTCTGGTCCAAGGAGCGTCCAGAAAAGGTTAGTGGAAGAGGTAATTTACATTCCTTCATATTTACAGAAAATTATATGCAATTTGAATTACGTTCATATTTAGTTATAGAAAACGTATTTTTTGTCTTATATAATTTGAACCCAACAATTATTCTGAATATAACCACACAGGTGATATGATGTCTTAGCTATTTTAAAAATACTTTCAAACATAGTGGGCACAGCAGCTGCTGAAAATGGTCAAATTATAGTATTGCAGTTCTACACATTTGGAACACAGAATTAATTTTTTTTAGCAGATTATAGGTCCAATAATAGTGTTCAAATTGCCTGGCTCTTGAAAATGGGAGAGAATACATCTGTCTTGCAATGATGTTTCTAGGTTAGAGCACCAGACAGCGGAATCTAATGTTCTCATTCTGTCTTCTGGGGGAAAGGAGAGAAGAGGCAGAATAAATGTTTTTGAAAAGGCAGGTGACACTGGAAAAGAACACCGAACTTCATTTTATAGTATAGATTTGAAACTCAAAGACTTGGAACCTCCTTTTTTCTCTTCTTTAAATGAGGCCAATTCCTACCTAAGAGTCCTGTTGTGAATGTTACCCAGACAGTGATCTAACATATAATGCAAATCTCTGTAACGCTAAATGACGAAAACATGACAGATGAAAAATTAGATATGTCCAGTTAAAGCATATAAAATTGATATCTATAATTGAAAAACAATATTTACAAAGCAAGAAGATGGAATATGCCATCATTTTTGTACCTGTGAACCTGAGGAATGGTTTCCTTTCCTTGGTTTGAGACCAGTCTTCTTTCTTAACAGCTGTTTTACTTGACCGCCTCAAAAAATGTTCTGTTATGTAATAATTTTCATGATAAAGTGAGGGGATGTAAGTGAGAATTAGATAGCAAACAGCATGCTGTAATTATTTTCTTTAAGTTTCCACTTACCTGTAGTTTATTCCTCAGGTAAAACTGATAGATGAAGCTGTATAAAATTCTGAAACTCAGGTGTAGAGTTTCTAGTTTAATTTTGGAGAAAAAAGATACAGGCCCATAGGTTCTAGGGGCTTTTATGGTGACTTAAGTGTTTTGCTACATTTTGAGCACCAGAAACATCCTCCAAAGGACCGGCCATTACAACAACAAGGCAATTTAAATTCTTTTTGGGGTGACTCAGGGAGGGGTCCAATATTTACAACAAATTACAGGTAAGAAGGTAAACATGGAGAATTAAAAACTTTCTAAAACTCCAGGGATAATGTCATCAGACTCAATTATATCATATGATTGGTATATTCTTGTTCTAATGCAATTCAAATAGTAAATATATTGCTGTCTGCATTATCACAATATGTGAAGATTTTGAGACCCCAATAAACAGAAAAAGTCTTTAATAAGTATTGTTTTTTATTTTTAAGAATTATCTGAAAACTTTCCATAATCAAATGAATAAATCACCCTCATTTGCATAATGCTTTCAAATATCTGATGGAGTTCTTAGAATACTACCATGAGTTAATATAATTATTCCTATTAGACAGATGTAAACCTGAGATAGGAAGTTCAACTGTTTTGCTGAAGGTTGTCCAGCCAGCATATAAGAGAATAAAAAATATCTTAAATCTACCATTTGTGACTCTAGCTCCTGCAATCAATCTGTGGCACTGCCCCGTCTCTCACTCATAAGAGCCCAGAATGAGCTTTTAGAATATTGCGTCTACATTCTGCAATGAGTACAGAAAAGCTAGGTTAGAAATATGTAAATAATTTAAGCTGACAATTAAATATCATTAAAAATTTTAAAATGAGCTTTACTTTTTCTCTAGACCCATGTCAGAATTGAAGCATGTGGAACAGAATGTAACCTCTGATTAAAAACAATTCCTCTTTGATTTTATTAATTTTTAAATTTTATTTCACTTTTTAGTGATATATGATATTTGCATAAATTTATGGGGTATATGTGATGTTTTATTATTTGCATAGAATGTGCACCAGTAAAGTCAGAGTATTTAAGTTAAGATATCCATCACCTTGAACATTTATTATTTCTATGTGTTGGGAACATTTCAAGTCCTTTCTTCTAGCTGTTTTGAAATATATACTATTATTGTTAACTATAGTCATCGTACTCTGCTATTGAACATTAGAACTTATTCCTTCTATCTAACTGTGCATCTGTACTCATTAACCAACCTGTCCTTTTTTTTTTTTGAGACGAAGTCTCACTCTGTTGCCCAGGCTGGAGTGCAGTGGTACGATCTCGGCTCACTGCAACCTCTGCCTCCTGGGTTCAAGCAGTTCTCTGCCTCAGCCTCCCGAGTAGCTGGGATTACAGGCGCCTGCCACCACGCCTAGCTAATTTTTGTATTTTTAGTAAAGACGGGACTTCACCATCTTGGTGAGGCTGGTCTTGAACTTCTGACCTTGCAATCAATCTGCTTTGGCCTCTCAAAGTGCTGGGATTACAGGTGTGAGCCACTGTGCCTGGCCTAGCCAACCTCTCTTTAACACTGCCCTCCCACCCCCAAACACCCCAACCTCTGGCAACTATCATTCTATTCTTTCTACCCACAAATTCTCTGTGACATATTTCCTGTAATTTTTTTTTTAATTTCAATAGGTTTTTGGGGGAACAGGAGGTGTTTGGCTACATGAATAAGTTCTTTAGTGGGGATTTCTGAGGTTTTAGTGCACCTGTCACCTGAGCAGTTTACACTATACCCAATGTCTAGTCTTTTATCTCTCACCCCTCTCCCAAACTGTTCCCAAATCCTCAAAGTCCATTGTATCATTTTTATGCCTTTGCATCCTCATAGCTTAGCCTCCCACTTATAAGTGAGAATGTATAATGTTTGATTTTCCATTCCTGAGTTACTTCACTTAGAATAATGCTCTCCAATTCTATCCAGGTCACTGTGAATGCCATTATTTCGTTCCTTTTTATGGTTGAGTAGTATTCTATACACCACAGTTTCTTTATCTACTTGTTGATTGATGGGCATTTCGGCTGGTTCCATATTTTTGCAATTGCAAATTGTGCTGCTGTAAACATGCATGTGCAAGTATCTTTTTCATATAATGACTTCTTTTCCTCTGGGTAGATACCCAGTAGTGGGATTGCTGGATCAAATGGTAGTTCTACTTTTAGTTCTTTAGGAAATATCTACGCTGTTTTCCATAATGATTGTACTAGTTTACATTCCCACCAGCAGTGTAGAAGTGTTCCCTTTTCACTACATCCATGTCAACATTTATTATTTTTTTATTTTTAAATTATGGCCATGCTTGCAGGAGTGAGGTGTTATCTCATTGTGATTTTGTTTTGCATTTCCCTGATCATTAGTGATGTTGAGCATTTTTTCATGTTTCTTGGCCATTTGTATACATTCTTTTTTTTTTTTTTTGAGACGGAGTCTTGCTGTGTCATCCAGGCTGGTGTGCAGTGGCACGATCTCAGCTTACTGCAATCTCTGCTTCCCAGGTTCAAGTGATTCTCTTGCCTCAGCCTCTGAGTAGCTGGGATTACAGACGTGCACCACCATGCCCAGCTAATTTTTGTATTTTTAGTAGAGACAGGGTTTCACTGTGTTCGTCAGGCTGGTCTCGAACTCCTGACCTCAAGTGATCTGCCCGCCTAGGCCTCCCAGAGTTCTGGGATTACAGGCGTGACCCATCACACCCAGTTCATTTATATATATTCTTTTGAGAATTGTCTAGTTATGTCCTTTGCCCACTTTTTGATGGGATTGTTTTTTTTTTTTTTTTTTTTTTTGCTAATTCATCCGAATTCCTTGTAGATTCTGTATATTAGTCATTTGTCAGATGTATAGATGGTGAAGATTTTCTCCCACTTTGTGGGTTTTCTGTTTACTCTGCTGATTGTTTCTTTTGCTGTGAAGAAGCTTTTTAGTTTAACTAAATCCTATCTATTTATCTTTGTTTTTGTTGCATTTGTGTTTGAGTTCTTGTTCATGAAGTTTTTGCCTAAGCCAATGTCTAGATTTAAATCCTTAATCCATCTTGAGTTGATTTTTGTATAAGGTGAGAGATGAGGATCAAGTTTCATTCTTCTACATGTGGCTTGCCAATTATCCCAGCACCATTTGTTGAATAGGTTGTCTTTTCCCCACTTGATGTTTTTGTTTGCTTTGTTAAAGATCAGCTGGCTATAAGTGTTTGGCTTTATTTCTGGGTTCTCTGTTCTGTTCCATTGATCTAAGTACCTATTTTTATACCAGTACCATGCTGTTTTGGTGACTATGGCCTTAGAGTATAGTTTGAAGTCAGGTAATGTGATGACTCCAGATTTGTTCTTTTTGCTTAGTCTTGCTTTGGCTGTATGGGCTCTTTTTTGGTTCCATATGAATTTTAGAATTGTCTTTTCTAGTCCTTTTAAGAATGATGGTGGTATTTTCATGGAAATTGCATTGAATTTGTAGATTGCTTTTGGCAGTGTGGTAATTTTCACAATATTGATTCTACTCATCCATGAACATGGGATATGTTTCCTTTTGTTTGTGTTGTCTATGACTTCTTTCAACAGTGTTTTCCTTGTAGAGGTCTTTCACCTCCTTGGTTAGGTATATCCCTAAGTATTTTAATTTTTTTGCAGCTATTGTAAAAGGGGTTGAGTTCTTGATCTGATTCTTATTTTGGCCACTGTCGGTGTATAGGAGAACTACTGATTTATGTATATTAATTTTGTATCCTGAAACTCTGCTGAATTCATTCATTAGTTCTAGGAGCTTTTTGGAGGAATCTTTAGGGTTTTCTAGGCATACAACCATGTCATCAGCAAAGAGTGATAGTGTGACTTGTTTTGTTTTGTTTTGTTTTTTTTGAGATGGAGTCTCACTCTTGTCACCCAGGCTGGAGTGCAATGGTGCAATCTTGGCTCACTGCGATCTCTGACTCCTGGGTTCAAGCGATTCTCCTGACTCAGCCTCCCCAGTAGCTGGGATTACAGGTGCCCACCACCATGCCTGGCTAATTTTTTGTATTTTTGATAGAGATGGGGTTTCACCATGTTGGCCAGGCTGGTCTTGAACTCCTGACCTCAGGTGATCCACCCACCTCGGCCTCCCAAAATACTGGGACTACAGGTGTGAGCCACCACGCCCGACCGTGACTTCCTCTTTACCAATTTGGATGCCCTTTCTTTCTTTGTTTGTTTCTTTTTTTAAATTTTTACTTTAAGTTCTGGGATATTTGTGCAGAATGTGTAGGTTTGCTACATAGGCATACATGTGCCACAGTAGTTTGCTGCACCTATCAACCCATCATCTAGGTTTTAAGCCCTGCATGTATTAGGTATTTGTCCTAATGCTCTCCCTCCCCTTGACCCCACCCCCCGAGAGGCATGGTGTGTGATGTTCCCTTTCCTGTGTCCATGTGTTCTCATTGTTCAACTCCCATTTATAAGTGAGAACATGTGGTGTTTGGTTTTCTGTTCCTGTGCTAGTTTGCTGAGAATGATGGTTTCCAGCTTCATCCATGTCTCTGCAAATGACACGAACTCATTCTTTTTTATGGCTGCATAGTATACCATGGTGGATATGTGCCACATTTTCTTTATCCAGTCTATCATTGATGGGATTCCCTTTATTTCTTTCTCTTGTCTGATCGCTCTGGCCAGGATTTCCAGTACTATATTGAATAGAAGTAGTGAGAATGGTCATCCTTGTCTTGTTCTAGTTATCACGGGGAATGCTTTCAACTTTTCCCCGTTCAGTATTATGTTGGCTGTGGGTTTGTCATAGGTGGCTTTTATTACCTTAAGGTGTGTCCTTGATTTTGCTGAGGATTTTAATCATAAAGGGATGCTGGATTTTGTCAAATGCTTTTTCTGTGTCTATTGAGGTGATCATGTAATTTTTGTTTTTAATTCTTTTTATGTGGTGTATCACATTTGTTAACTTGCGTGTATTAAACCTTCGCTGCATCCCTGTGATACAGCAAAGGCAGTGCTAAGAGGAAAGTTCATAGCCTTAAATGTCTACTCCAATAATGTTTATGTGTTAGGCGAGTCTCTTGAAGATAGCAGATACTTGGTTGGTGAATTCTGTTTTTCTGTATCCTTTAAGAAGAGCAATTAGGTCGTTAGGGAGGTTTGGGGAGTTCCTTCAGACCTCCAATAAACTTGTTTGTAGAGTCCTGAGGGGTTTCTTCAGAACCCCAATAAAACTTGTTTATTCCTAAACGGGTCCTGTTAAGAATTCCTTCATTATTTTGTCATGTTTTAAGGCCCAGGAAAGCCTAGGTAAAACTCTTGATGGGCTTTTGTTACATTCCAGCCTTCGGACTGGCTTTTTTAGCTTTTAATATTTAACCTAACCACTCAGTCAGTACTGAAACAGTTGTGATGGAGGCCTGGGTTAGTGAATCCTGGTCTGCCACGCCAGCACCTGCACTGGTGGAGGTGTCAGGGGAATGAAGTGGGCTCTGTGAGAGTCTTTGGTTGTAGTTTTGTTTATTGCACTAGTTTTTTGTTAGTTGGCCTCCAGCCAGGAGGTGGGACTTTTAAGAGAGCTTCAGCTGCAGTAGTATAGAGAGGATCAGGTGGTGGGCGGAGCCCTAGAGCTCCCAAGAGATTTTGTCCTTTGTCTTCAGCTACCAGAGCAGGTAAAGAAAGACCATCAGGTAGAGGCAGGGTTAGGCATTTTTGAGCTCAAAGTCTCCTTGGCTGGGGCTTGCTGTGGCTGCTGTAGGGGTTAGGGGTGTGGTTACCAAGCCAATGGAGTTATGTTCCCAGGGGATTATGGCTGCTTTCGCTGTGTCATGCAGGTTACCAGGGATGTGGGGGAAAGCCAGCAGTTACAGGCCTCACCTAGCTCCCCCGCAGCCCAAAAGTCTGGTCTCACTTCCACGGTGTCGCCACCAACAGCATTGAGTTAATTTCCAGGCAGTGGGTGAGAAGGGCTGAGAACTTGCCCCAGGCTACCAGCCTTGGGGAGGGGAGGCGGGGGGAGAAAGTAAGCAGGGCTTTCAGGTTTTGCACCTCCCTGCCTGCTGCAGCTTCTGTGCTATGTCTGCACTTCCAATTCACCTCCTGCCTCAGGTTCTGTCCAGAAAACTTAGCGCTTGGTTGAAATTGTTACAGAGATCATCTGGAAGTTTCCTTCTCCCTGTGATCTTTTCCTAGTTCCTCTGCAGCCCTCCTCAAGAACCCCTGTAAGACAAAGTCAGAAATGGTTTTCCAGGGGACAAAGAGTGCCCACAGGGCTCTTCCCACTGTTTCTTTTACCGTTGTGTTTTGCTCGGCTCTCTAAATTTGTCTCAGCTCCAGGTAAGGTCAAATCCTTCTGTGATATGGACCTTCAGGTTCCCTAGTGAGGGTGTGTGTTTGGGGGTGGATGATCCTCCCCTTTCACAGTTTCACACTTTGGACACTCAGTTTTTTTTTTTTTTTTTTTTGCTATTTCCAGGGGCCTGCAACAGCAATCTGCCTCCTTCAAAGGGTCTGTGGATCCTCTTGGCTTTCCCGGTATGTTCCTGTGGTAGTTCTTGGAGCAAAAGTTCACGATGTGAGTCTCCACACACTGCTCTGTCCACTGGAGTGGGAGCTGCAAGTTAGTCCTGCCTCCAATCTGCCATTTTCCCCCACCTGATCCATCATTCTATTCTCTTTGTCTGTAAGTAAAACTTTTTTGTAAAACTCCCATATATGAGTGAGAACCTGCAACAGTTGTCTCTCTGTGTCTGGCTTAATTTACTTAACATAATGACCCGCAGTTCCCCCATGTTGCTGCAAGTGACTTAATTTTATTTTTTTCCCTATGGCCGAGTAGTATTGCACTGTGTATATATAGCAATTTTTTTTTTGTTCATTCATCTATTGACGGACACTTAGGTTGATTTCATATCATTGCTATTGTAAATAGTGCTGCAATAACATGGGGGTACATGTATCCTTTTAATATACTGATTTCCTTTCCTTTGGATAAATACCTAGTTGTAAGATTGCTGGATCACGTGGTAGTTCTATTTTTAGTTTTACTGAGAAAACTTTATACTGTTTTCCATAATGGCTATACTAATTTACATTCCCGCCAAAAGTGTATAAGAGTTCTCTTTTCTCTGCATCCTCCTCAGCATCTGCTTTTTTTGGGGGGAAGGAGTGGGGGGTCTTTTGATAATAACCATTCTAGCTGGGTAAGCTAATATCTCATTGTGGTTTTGACTTGCATTCCCTGATGATTAGTGATGTTGAGCATATTTTACATACTTCTTGGCCATTTATATGTCTTCTTTTGAAAAACATCTATTCAGATTCTTTGCCTACTTTTTAATGGGACTGTTTTTGCTATTGAATTCCTTGTGTATTCTGGATGTTAGTCCTTTGTTGGATAAATAGTTTGCAAATATTTTCTGTCATTCTGTGGGCTGTCTCTTCACTCTTGATTGTTTCCTTTGCTGTGCAGAAACTTTTTATTTAACCTAGCCCCATTTGTCTATTTTGTATTTTTGTTACTAGTGCTTTTGGGGTTTAACCATGAAGTCATTGCTTAGATCAATGTCATGGAGTGTTTCCCCCATGTTTAGTTCTAATAATTTTATAGTTTTGGGTTTTACATTTAAGTATTTAATCCATTTTAAGTTGATTTTTTTATGTGGTGAGACTTAGCGGTCTAGTTTTATTTTTCTGCATATGGATATTCAGTTTTCCCAGCACTATTTATTAAAGAGGGTGTCTCTTTCCCAATATAGATTTTTGATGCCTTTGTTAAAAATTAGTTGGCTGTAAATATGTGGATTTATTTCTGATTCTCTATTCTTTTCTGTCAGTCTATATGTCTATTTTAATACTAGCACCATGATATTTTGTTTGTTATAGCCTTGGAATATATTTTGAAGTCAGGTAGTGTGAAGTCTCCAGCTTTGTTCTTTCTGCTCAGGATTGCTTTGGCTATTTGGGCCCTTTTTTGGTTCCATATGAATTTTAGAATTTCTTTTTCTGTTTCTGTGAAAAATGACATTGGCATTTCAATAGGAATTTCATTGAATCTATAGGTGCTTTGGATAGTATGGTCATTTTAATGGTATTAATTCTTTTAATTCATGAGTGTGGATGTCTTTCCATTTCCATCCTCCTCAATTTCGTTCACCAGTGTTTTGAGGTTTTCCTTGTAGAAATCTTTTACCTCCTTGGTTACACTTATTTCTAAGTATTTTATTTTCTTTTAGCTATTATAAATGGGATTTACTTATTGATTTCCTTTTCAGCTACTTTGTTTATGGTTTCTAGAAATGTTACTGATTTTTGTATATTGATTTTGTATCCTATAACTTTACTGAATTTATTTATCAGATCTAAGAGTTTTTGGTGGAGTCTTTTGATTTTTCTAAATATAAGAACATGTCATCTGCAAATAAGGACTATTTGACTTCCTCTTTTCTAATTTACTTATTTTCTAATTTATTTATATATTTGCTTAATTGCTCTGGGTTGGACATCCAGTACTATGTTGAATAGGAGTGGTGAAAGTGGGTATTCTTATCTAGTTCCAATTCTTGGAGGAGAGGCTTTCAGCTTGTCCCCATTCTGGATTATGTTTTCTGTGGGTTTGTCATATATGGCCTCAGCATAACGTTTTGTTATGCTGAGATATGTTCCTTCTATGCCTAGTTTGTTGAGAGTTTTTATTATGAAGGGATGCTGAATTTTATCAAAACCACAATTATTTTTGCACCAACCTAATTTTATTTGTATTGGGTACTCCAGTTTAGGGTATATATAGATTTATTTAGAATTATTCTATTCTCTTGCTAAATTTATCCTTTTGTAATTATATCAAACATGTTATTTGCATTAATGACTTATTGCTGGTTACCCTGACGTAACAATGGTTTCAATCTGTCAATAGTCTGAGTACACATTTTGAACCCCAAATGTTGATTTCCCAACGACACTATCATAACAGGAGTTAGTAACCTACAAATACAATTTAGTTTGAGGAAGCTAAAGAGATTCCCATAGGCTTCCTCAGCAAACCCTGACCTAACAATGGTTTCAATTTGTCAATTATTTGTTACTTTGCTTACCGTCCTCCACCATTAGAGCACATGACACTTTGAACATGTTTTAAACAAAGGTTTTAAAGAAAGAAGGTTTCTGCAGGAAAATAGCTTTGTTTTTGTGGATGGCATTTAAAAATACATCCAAGAGATAATAGTCTCTTGCTATCAACATCTCCTGAGATAACCAGTTCATGTTAGCCTTTTCTTTTTGTGTAATTGGTTTTTTTCTTTGCTTTCTTCTATATCAGTAAATACTTACCCTTCTTTTATTTTTATTAATTTTTACCCAGATTATCCTCCTTGAGGTTAGGTTGTTAAGTGCATTAAGATGACTGATCCAAAAAACTGGCAGCAACAAAAGTCTACCCAATGATTTTCCCCTTCATCTGTTCATCATTGTATGGAGTAGGGTTAGACAAACACAAACAGATAGGCCTGCCTCATCCACTGAGCAGGAAAGAGACAAAGCCCACGAATCCCACATTTTAAAAAATGAAAAGAAGGAATGACTCATTCTGAAGGAATGATGGACAGTTATATTTAGAGATACTGTCACAGCATCATGTTCAGCAACTGATCCTTCCTCCAAAACTCAAAAATGCTATCTGTGTTTCACCAATATTATCAAGCAAAGAAAAAAATTAGAAATAGGGAAGTTTCTGTAAGTGCTTATATCTTTCCTGTCACTTTTCCATGTCTTTATAAATATATCTCAATAATGTATTCATCAATCCCTCTTTTCTTTAACATACATATATTTTGACACAAATTCATTCAGTTGTGAAAGTTATCCTACCAGTCTCCTGTCACCCTCCCTACATTTAATAAGCAGATTTAGGTTTTCAATCAGTCCACTTTGTACATCGATGTATATGATGAGTCTATTGTATATGATGCTTCATAACTTGTTATATTTAACTTGGAGTAAAATAGATCCCTTAATTAGGTATTGAACATTCAAATTAGTATAAGCTTGTTATAAGCCTTTAATAGTGGTAGTGGTATTTGCTTTATTTTCTAAGTATGCAAATCCAAATCCTGAACGAGTGTCTCTCTTATTCAAGAGTCATTTTTATCCACCTGGAACTAAGGGTAATGGCCAGTATAATCCACTTGCTAACTTTAAGTCTTCCTGGATCCTTTCAGTAAATATTATATTTTGGGTTGAATTGTGTCCTTCCAAAAGATGTGTTGAAGTCCTAACGTCAGAATCCTCAGAAGGTGACCTTATTTGGAAATAGGGTCATTGCAGTTGTAATTAGTTAAGATGAGATCATACTGGAGCAAGGTGAATTATTGATACAATATGACTAGTGTCCTTGTAAGAACAGCAGAGACAAAGAGACACAAGACACATGGGGGAAAATGCCATGTGACAATGGAGGCAGAGACTGAAGCACCATGGTTGCAAGCCAAGGAATGCCAAGGATTCCTGACAAATCACCCAAAGTTAAGAAGAGGCAAGGGAAGATTTCCCCCTACCAATTTCAGGGAATCTTGACCCTGCTAACACCCTGAGTTGGACTTGAGCTTCCAGAACTGTAGATAATACATTGCTGGTGTTTTAAGTAATCGAGTTTGTGGTACTTTGTCATGGCAGCCCTAGGAAATTAATGCATAGTCCATAACTGCTTTTAGTTTCCAATTTCTTTATGCTGATAAGCATAACAATTTTTGGTACATTTGCAGCTTCGAGAGAGTGGGATGCATATTTTTTGCACACATTGTTGCACTGCTTGAATGCTTCCATGCCTTTTTGTTTCATGTCTCCAAGAGGCCACTTTCAAAGAGCTAATGAAGTCTTCCATTTGTTTATTCTAGTCCTTTTCTGAATTCAGAATGAAATTTTATGACAGGCGTAGACCTATCCCACTTTGGTTATCCCTCTTCAGGTCCATAAAATGTTCTGTAACTTACCATCTCATACATGGATTCCCTTGTTATCTTTCAGTTTTTATAAGGCTCATTTTTCAGACTAAATTGCCAATCCATACTCTGCTGCCTAAGAATTGTGTATACTATATTATTGTTTTTATTATCTAGTTTCTCTGATGATGAGATACAGTGTTAATTCTGCCACTGGGCAGATTTATCTTTTTCTTTTTTGAAGTGCAGTTATAGACCAGTCACAATGTTGTTATCTTTGAAGTTGAGTGTCAGCTTTCTACGCTTGACATGGTGGAGAGTAGACATGGTGCTGCTTGTTTGGCATCCTCTGATAACTGGTAATAGGGAGGGGTCCATTTGTCTATGGGGTAAAAAACTCAAGGAGATTAGTATGTGGCCAAAGACATAGCAGACCTTTTCATGTATGCTATGGATACCTCCACTTGTCCACTTTCTCATGTTCTTGAATATGCCATTTCCATTTAACCAGGAACGCTTATGTGCATTTATCTTTCTGTTGGAATGCTCTTCTCATATGACCCATAATATTATGCATATTTCAGTTGTCAAAATAATTTTACATACTTTCCTAACAGAATAAGCCTAAATTAATGCTTGACATGCCAATGATTGACTTTCAAAAGGCATGAAACTGGAGGCCTCCTACAGTAATTGTCTATGGTAAAATCCCCATGGTTGTCCCAGTGTAGTAGCAGTAATGGAATTTGGCCAAAAGCTCCCATCATTGTGATTACAATTTGACACTGCTAGTAATATATGAGAATTGGGGTTTTAGGATTCCAAAGGTTTCAACAGGGCAATGGCTATTAGAAGCTCCAAGGGCATCTGCTGTTGTTCAGAGCCCCTGATGTTAACAGTTCAGAGCTCCATTCAAATTCAGCATTTCCTTATCCCCTGGCAGTTCTGTGAATGGAGAATAATAATATTACCAGATATGATATATGATTTATTCATAAATCAATCAATCAATTTTTTAGTCTCTTGTTTTGATTTTGGAGCTCACAGAATAATAAGTTATTTTTGATTGTTTGAGGAATGTCTTCTAGTGATTTCAGCCCAAATAATTTCTAAAAATCCTCAGAAAAAATACTGCTTGTGTTTGACCCTATATTTTAGAAAGTTTAATCAATCACTCCCTGGTGGCTGTATTATTTACCATCATTTGTAATTCAGTTTGACATTCAGATTAAAACAGAATTACATCATCAAAATAATTAATAACAGTAATTTTCAATTGAATATAATGTCTCCTCACTATAATGTGGCAATAAACAAGACAATTTAAATGTCCTCTGGGAACACAGTAATTATGCATTGGTATCCATCTTTACTGGCTTTGAATTTGTTCTGAAATAGAAATAGAAGATAATATATTAGTTAAATAGATCACAAAATACCAATCTCCCTAGCTTGATGCACATTTTGAATTGTTAACACAACTTTAGGTATGGCTGAGGTTATTGTAGTGATCACATTATTTAGTCCCAATAGTTAACAGTTAACCTCCAGGATCCATTGACTGCAGGCCATTTTGGATGATTATATGAGAAAATTGTACTAATACACATATCCTTAATTAAAGCCAAAATTTCTCGATGAACCCTAGTATCCTACATTAGCCACTTGAGTGTGTTCAGATAATTCTAAAGGCTCCCATGTAGCATACTCTATTAAAACAGAATGAAGATTTGCATAATCTGATTATTCACATAAGGGAAATATCTTCCATTCAGACATCAGATACATTTCAGAAATACTTTCTGGTAGGGGTGATACAACAAACATATGTAACTTTCATTCTAAAATGTATACCTTAAGCATAATTTTAAATTTTAATCTTTCTACAATTGCACCACTTTATCCCCCTAATTATATTACACTTTATTTGTTAGCATGTTTCATTTTAGCACATTGTGCACTAGTGTCCAAAAATTCCATTAAAGTCTCCACACTACCTCCAGGCAATTTTATGTACCAATTCAAAATGCTTTAGGTCCCTTGATGGGGTTGCAGCAAATAAACCTGGCCATACCCTGACTCAGAATCATAATTTCATACTTTACTTCATACCATTTTAATTGGCACTGGTTCTGGAGGAATTTAGATTTTTCTACTAATCATCATCGTATGTTTTAAATTCATCAGGCCTGAAATACATTGAGGCAATCTCTTGCAGTCATTACAGATTGAGGAGATGATGTGGCAGCTAGATCATCTGTTTCTCTCATATTGATCTATTAAAATTTTAGTAGATTTACTCTCTGTTTTAGTTCAATTTCTACTGCTCTCACAGAGTATCACAGACTGGGTAATTTATAAAGGACCGAACTCTATTTGGCTGAGAGTTCTGGAGGCTGAGAAGTCCAAGAGCATGGTGCTGGCATCTGATGAAGGTCACTCCATGGCAGAGGGGAAGAAGGGCAGAAAGGCAAAAGAGCAGAAGGGCAAGTGAGCTTGCAAGACAGAGAATAGGGCTCATCCATTTTATCAGAAACCTGTTTCTGCAATAACCAACTCACTCCTGAAATAATAATAACGTTAAGCCAGTCATGAGGGCAGTGACCTCATGACCTAATCACATTTCAAAGGCCCCACTTCCCAATATCATCACACTGGCGATCAAATTTCAACATGAGTTTTGGAAGAGATATTCAAACCAGAGTACCATCTATCTGCTCATTTTTATTGCATTTGCACAGCTTTATTGAGGTGTAATTGACAGGTAAAAATTATATATGTTAAATGTATACGGTGTGTATTAGCCTGTTTTCACACTGCTGTAAAGAACTACCTGAAACTGAATAATTTATAAAGAAAAGAGTTAATTAAACTGTGAGTTATGGAATTAACTCACAGTTTCACATGGCTGGGGAGGCCTCCGGAAACTTACAATCATGGCAGAAGGTGAAGGGGAAACAAGGCATGTCTTATGTGTTGGCAGAAGAGAGAGAAAGAGAGAGAGAGTGAGAGAAAGAGAGAGAGAGAGGGGTAGTGCCACACAGTTTTACATCATTAGATCTCATGAGAACTCACTATCATGAGAACAACAAGGGGGATGTCGGCCCCCATAATCCAATCACCTCCCACTAGTCCCCTAATCTGACATGTGGGAATTAAATTTGAGATGAGATTTGAGTGGGGACACAGAGCCAAACCATATCACAATGCAACTTTTTGATCTACATATATATAGATAATCAAATGATTGAAACAATCAAGATAATTAACATATTTATAACCTCACAAAGTTATCCTTTTTTGTGTGTTGAGAACATTTAAGACCAAATCTCAGCAAATTTTAAGCATACAATACAGCATTACAAACCATAGTTGCTATGATATAGATTAGATCTCTGGAACTTATTCATCCTGCATAATTGAAACTTTTTACACATTGACAAACTTCTCATTTTCCCCTCCCATCAGCCCCTGGTCACCACCATTTTACTCTCTGTTTCTGTGAGTTCAGCTTTTTAGGATGTTATATATATAAGTGAGATCATGCAGTATTTGTCTTTTTTCACCTGGCTTATTTCACTTAGCATAATGTTCTCCAGAATTATCCATGTTGTTGCAAATGAAAATATTTTCTTTTTTATAAAGCTTAATAAAATTTCATTTTATGTGTATGTATATCAATATCACATGCTCTTTATACATTCACCTTTTAGTGAAAACTTATGTTGATTTTATATCTTGGCTATTGTAAACAATGCTGCAGTGAACATGAGAATGCTGATAGCTCTTTGAGATACTGATTTCATTTCCTTTGGCTATTACTCAGAAGTGGGATTGCTGGATCATATAGTAGTTCTATTTTCAATTTTTGAGAAAGCTTCATACCATAATGGGTGTACCAATCTACATTCTCACCAACAGTATACAAGAGCTTCTTTTTCTCCACATTCTCACCAATGCTTATCTTTTGTCTTTTTGATAATAGACATTACAACAGGTGTGAGGTGATATTTTATTGTTGTTTTAATTTCTATTATTCTGATGATTAGTGATGTTGAGCATTTCTTATGTACCTGTTAGCCATTTGTATGACTTATTTTAGAAGTATGTATTCTGGTCCTTTGCAAAGTTTTAAAGTGAGGGTTATTATTATTATTTGTTTTGGGGTTGTTTGAGTTCCTAATGTATTGAAAATATCAACTCCTTATCAGATGTATGGTGCTTTGGTTTGAATGTTTGTTCCCTCTGTAAGTTATGTTGAAACTTAATCTTCAATGTGGCAGTAATGAGAAATGGGGCCTTTAAGAGATGCTTGGGCATTAAAGTAATCCATTCATGGATTAATGAATTAATAGATTAATGGGTTAACGAATTAATGGGCTATCATGGGATGACACTGGTAGCTTTATAAGAAGAGGAAGAGAGAACAGAGCTAGGATGCTCAGTCCCCTCACCATGTAATGCCCTATACCACCTTGGGACTCTGCAGTGTCCCCACTAGTAAGAAGGTCCTCACTGGTTGTGGCACATTGTTGCTGGACTTCTCAGTCTCCATAACTATGAAACATACATTTCTTTTCTTTAAAAATGTATCAGTTTCAGGTATTCTAAGTGACAGAAAATGAATTAAGACATATGGTTTGTGAATAGTTTCTCCCATTCCATAAATTGTCTCTTCACTCTGTTGATTGTTTCCTTCTCTATAAGGAGCTTTTAAGTTTGCTGCAGTCCCATTTGTCTGTTTCTGCTTTTGTTCCATGTGCTTTTGGGTTCATTAAAAAAATCGTTGCCCAGACCAATGTCAAGAAGCTTTTCCCTTATGTTTTCTTCTAGTAGTTTTATAGTGTCAGGTCTTACATTTAAATCTGTAATTCATTTAGAATTAATTTTTGTATATTGTTTGAGATAAGGCGCCAATTTTATTCTTCTGCTTGTAGCTATCAAGCCTTCCCAGCACCATTCATTTAAGAGATTGTCCTTTCTCTATTGTGTGTTCTTGGCACCCTTGTGAAAGATCAATTGACTATAAATGCATAGATTTATTTCTGGGCTCTCTAATGTATTCCATTGATATATATTTCAGTTTTTTTTTGATGCCAGTACCATGCTCTTTTGATCACTATTGCTTTGTAGCATATTTTGAAATCAGATGGTGTAATATACCCTGTTTTGTTCTTCTTGCTGTAGATTGCTTTGGCTATTTTTGAGACCATTTGTGATTCCATGAGAATTTTATTTTATTTCTTTGAACTTCTTTGAATCTTTCCATTTATTTGTGTCTTCTCCAAAAATATTTCCTCAATGTGTTATATTAGGTTGTTGCAAAAGTAATTGTGCATTTTGCTATTACTTTTAATGGCAACAACCGCAATTACTTGTGCACCAGTAGTTTCAGTGTATAGATCTTTCACCTCCTTGGCTAAATTTATCCTGGTATTTTTTATGTTATTGTAAATGGGATTGTTTTCTTAATTTCTTTTTCTCATCGTTTATTATTAGTGTATAACAACACAAATAAATTTTACATGTTATTTTGTATCTTGCCACTTTACCAAATTCATTTATTAGTCCTAACAATAATTTGGTAGAGCCTTCAGGGTTTTCTATGTATAAGAATATGTCATCTGCAAGCAAAGATTATTTTAGTTTTTTCTTTCTCATTTGGATGCCTATGCCTTTTGTTTCTCTCTCTCTTTTTTTGCCTAAATCCCCTGGCTAAGACCTCCAGGATGATATTAAATAGAAGTGATGAGAGTAAGCATACTTGTCTTGTTCTTCATTTTAGAGAAAAAGCTTTCAGCTTTATACCATTGAGTATAATATTAGCTAGAGGCTTGTCATATATTGTCTTTATTATGTTGCAGTACATTGTTTCTACACCTAATTTGTTGAGTTATTTTTTAATCATAAAATATATTGAATTTTGTTAAATGCCTTTTTGTATTTGTTGAGATGCTTCTTATGATTTTTATTGCTTATCCGGTTAATATGATGCATCCTATTTATTGATTTGCATATGTTGAACCATACTTGCATCCCAAGGATAAATCCACTTGGTCATGGTGTATGATTCTTTTAATGTATTGTTGAACTTAGTTTGATAGTATTTTATTGAGGACTTTTGTATCTGTGTTCATCAGTGATATTGGTTTGTAGTTTTCTTTTCTTGTAATAATAAAAATCAGAGCAGAACCATATGACATAGAAATTATAAAATGACAGAACAGATTAATAAAACTAGAAATTGACCTTTCACTAGACTAAAAAAAGAGAGAGAATAAATAAAGTTACAAATTAAAAAGAAGAAAGTACAACTGATACCACAGAAATACAAAGGATTATACGAAACTACTGTGAACAATTATATACCACAAATTGAATAACCTAAAAGAAATGGATAAGTTTCTGGAAACATACAACCTACTAAGACAATTATGAAGAAATAAAAAATCAGAATAGACCAATACCAAGTAAGGAGAATGAATCAGTAATAAAAAACCTCACCCGAAAGAAAACCTATGTCTTGATGGCTTCCCTGGTCCATTCTATCAAATATTTAAAGACAAATTAATGCCAATCATTTTTGAAAATTTCCAAAAAATTGAAGAGAAAACTTATTTTATGAAGCCATACTTTATCTTTCAATTTTGAAACACCGAGATATATATCAACATATTTTGGTCTCAGTAGAACCAAGGCTCAAGTTTGATTAGAGGTCTTTTATACCCCACTGGCCCCCAGCTAAAATCTGGCATGTAAAAAATTAAGCCACATACAAAGCATTATTGTAAACAAATTAGTAAAGAATGCCTCTAGGGGAGTTTTGGACTTCAAATAGCACATTATTAATGACAAGCCAGGACATTTCATCCTTCTCTTGACCAAGTGCCAGTCCTCAATTTCCAGGTGATCACAGAGATAAACATACAGCTAGCACACTCATTTAGCTCATCTTTATACAGTCAAAGTTGGATTTCTTTACCAGGCTCCAGTAGCTACTCTACAACTAAGGTAATATAATATAAGCAACTGCATATTTTCATTAGTTTTCTATACAATAAATTGAACTAGGCTGGAAGTTCAAATTTTTTTGCCATGCTTGATCAATTATTTTACCGATGGAGAGTAGAAATAACAACAAATTGGTTTGGTGAACTTCCACGTAGTAGTACAGCTTTGTCTTTGAAACCACATAAATGATTTTTGAGTACCACTTTTACTTTCTTTTTGTATTCTCTACTCTCCACCTTACCCCCCACCCACCACATGTTTTGTTCTATATCTTCCTCTTTTAAAATTTTTTTATTTATTTTTTGAGACAGGGTCTCACTCTGTCACCCAGGCTGGAGTGCAGTAGCACCATCTCGGCTCACTGCAACCTCCACCTCCCAGGCTCAAGCGATTCTTGTGCCTCAGCCTCCCGAGTAGCTGGGACTATAGGTGCCTGCCACCGCGCCTGGTTAATTTTTTTGTATTTTCGGTAGAGATGGGGTTTCACCATGTTGCTTGTCTTGAATTCCTGAGCTCAGACGATCTGCCCACCTCGGCCTCCTGAAGTACTGGGATTACAGGCCTGAACCACCACGCCCTGCCATGCTGTATCTTCCTCTTTTTAAAAATAATTCACCACTACTACTAGTGTTTGAGTTGGTGATCAAGATGTGAAAGGAATAATTTAGCTCCTTATTAATACTCAATTTAATAGGTACCATCAGAGAAACACATTGCCTAGATTATTTACTTCAAATTAAAACATCAGTCAGATACCTTTTAACCTCCCCTCCAATTAATCTATCTCTGACTAAGAAATAAGGCAGAAAAAGACTCAAATTAAGATGAGAACACCAAAATCATTCCAGTGTCTGAACTGAGATAGTGGAACATTCTGGAGAAAATTAAGCTAGTAATGTCTTAGGGAATTAATCAGGAGATGAACTGAAGAGATATAGATAGCAATATTGTGGGTCTTCAGCTACCATACTCTGGTATAAGTATATGCAGTTTTGCTCTTAAGCTGTTTATTGATGTGGCTTATAAAGCATTACATTCTAATTAACTTTTTTGTGACCTTTTAGAATTACTAGGCACATTAAAGTAGGGGAGAGGAAATTACTGTAGAAACATAGTAACATTGTACTTATACATCATTTTCTACTAGTCATCAAATTATATTATATTCACTACTTTATAGATATGTTTATCTTACTATGTTCAGATTTCCTTGAGAGGGACTGTAGCAATTTCATTCTCTTGAAGATAACAGATACTCAAAAATGTTTCTTACATGCCATAATGGATATGAACATATTTTATGAACTTCAAGATGCTGCTAGGTATTACTATTAAGAAGTGAAGCATAAGAAATGAAGATAAAAGTAATGTTTCACTAAAATTATTTCTTGGGGCTCATATAAATTTGTCAAAATATAAATCAATAAAATAGCGTTGATATTTGTACAAAGAAAGCACTCTATTCTCTGGGGAGGAAAAAGAAAAAATATACAACTCACTTTTATTTTATTTTTATTATTTTATTGATAGAGATGTTTAAGTTTATATTTCACAGGTCAATTTTTACTCTAAAATGTTGATGTAAATATATTCCCCATTAAAGTAATGGAATTTTCTAACATTTTATTTTAAATATATTTATTGGAAAAAAATGTTGTTACTTTAATGGTTTTGTAAGAAGTATTAGTTTTTTCTCATATAGATAATGTGGCCATTATATGTCATGTGTACTTAATACAACTCTTTTTCTAGCCTTCAGTTCTTTACAAAATGCTAAATCAGACACTGGATCTCCAGTACTTAAAAAACAGCTGGCACATATTATTTTCCAGTACATATTTTTTGACAAAACTAATTTAAAAAGTAGGACACTAGAAAAAACTTCTCAAAATTTAAAATATAATAAATAAACACAGGTTTTTAAATACAAAAAAAGTTTTAAAATACTTTTTAAAATCTTTAAAGTCTTTTATTGATCATCATTTCTTGACAACAAAAAATTGAGATAAATTAACTTAAAGAAAAATATATTTACCATGACCAAGTGTTAGAAAATTCCTGCTAAAGGATTGTTTTAATTATTAGTAATATATAATCTATGAAAACACTATGAATATATTTCAAATTTTGATAATTATTAGACAAGAAAGTAAATTTTTTTGAAGGGTATCTTTGAAGGGTATCTTTTTGTGATTGTCAATCTCTCTTTTTTATTTTATTTTATTTTATTTTTTTGAGAGAGAGTTTTGCTCTTGTTGCCCAGGCTGGAGTGCAATGGCCGATCTCGGCTCACTGCAACCTCCACCTCTCAGGTTCAAGTGATTCTGCCACCTCAGCTTCCTGAGTAGCTGCGATTACAGGCACCCGCCACCACGCATGGCTATTTTTTGTATTTTTAATAGAGATGGGGTTTCACTATATGGGCCAGGCTGGTCTTGAACTCCTGACCTCAGGTGATCCACAGGCCTCGGCCTCCCAAAGTACTGGGATTACAGGTGTGAACCACCATGCCCGGCCAAGCCTTTTTTTAATGTGTAATCAGATGTGGTAAAATAGCAGAGTATCATGGCAATGTAGTTTCTTTTCTTCTTTTTAAAAAATTATTTATTTATTTATTTATTTTTTGGCTGGGCATGGTGGCTCATGCCTGTAATCCCAGCACTTCGGCAAGCTGAGGTGGGTCACTTGAGGTCAGGAGTTTGAAAGCAGCCTGGCCAACATGGCGAGACCCCGTCTCTACTAAAAATATAAATATTAGCCAGACATGGTGGTGGGCACCTGTAGTCCCAGCTAGTGTGGAAGCTGAGGCAAGAGAATCGCTTGAACCCGGGAAGCAGAGGTTGCAGTGGGCTGAGATCGCACCACTATACTCCAGCCTGGGCGACAGGGTGAGACTTCATCTCAAACAAACAAAAAAAATAAATTGACAGATAATAATTGTACATATTCGTAGGGTAATAATGATGTTTCACTACATAGAATGTGTAGTGACCAGATCAGGGTATTTAACATATTAATTATCTCCAACATTTATTATTTCTTTATTTTGGAAATTTGTCACCTAGAATATTAGACTTTGTAGTTGTTACCAATTGAAATATTAACAGTGATTTTGTGACTTTGAACATATTTCATCACTATATCTCAGTTTACTCACTTATAGAAAGTGGAATCTTAGCTGACTTCTATGGTATTTTTGGTCTGAAAACTTCTGTGATACTGCAATGAAAAAACATAAGAATCCTGGATATATTTTAATTTCTATTTATTTAAATGTTATTTTGGAATAATTTTAGATTTATAGACAAGTTGCAAACATAGTACAGAGAGTTCCTGTGCTTATTATCTTGACTATTAGACTTGTAATTGTGACTTATTTAAATACTACTGTGTGACTTTGAAACATTATTTAATTACTTCATACCTCAGATTACTAATCTATAAAAAGGTAAATCTTACTATATGACTTCCGCAGAAGTTTTCAGCTCTAAGATTTTATGATTTTAAATATACATCCCTGACATGTTTCCGTTTGTATTTTAATGCACCTGTATGATGTTTTGTGGGGTGTGTGTGTATGTGCATGAATAAATTATTCCCCTGCTTTATTAAGCCAACTGTTATTTTTCAGAACCCAAATATTTTACAGTGAACCTCAGTGTTAATATCTACAATGTAGCTTAATAGGCTTTGCTAAAGCATGTTAATTCAATAATATGCCTATCTGAATTCATACTCCAAACTATTCATTTCAGACTTTTTACTTTTGTGGTTTAAAACTTATGAATTTGCTTTTGTCCTGTGGATTTACTTATTGCTTATCTGTATTACTTTTCATTTCAAAAAAATTCAATGAAGACATCCTGTATGAATTTAACTTATCAAAAAGAATTAAGTTAAAGTAAGCAAAAAAGTTGAATCATAATGTGCTTAATGCATAGCTAATATCCATTTTATTTCATTCATAATATCTACATCATTTTTCACTTCTAGCATTACATTTTAGTAATCATGATTTGAATTATTAATCTCTTACTTTGAACGAACTTTGCTTTGGTAGATATATTTTAAACTAGGGAGCTCTAACATTTCATAAAGTTTGGTGAACATCTGCTGCTATTTCTAAAAGTTATGTGGGCAGGAGAGTGTTACTCCATTTGTGAGCTTTAGTTCACCCACGGTCTATTCCCAGCACCCCTCTTAATTGGGTCTGTGGGACACTGTCCCTAACGCACCAGAAGTTTCTCCTTTCCACAGACCTCTCACTCCAACTTTAAATTGCTTTGGGAATTGGGGAACAATTACAATAACTGTTGCATAACAAATAGTTACTCTTCTACATCTGTAGAATCTGGCCTGTCTTGTTGAGCCTGACCTTAATTCAGAATGCTGACATAAATACTAAGAAAAAGTACTTGGTTCTTCTAGGAGGTGGACATAATTTATCACTGTAAAGTAAGTCCTGAATCACATGAAACTTATAATTAAACTCAATCTATAAGTAAAGGTGCTATTCAGCATGCATTTTAATTTGAATAATTTGAAGCAATATAGGTACCAATTTATTATCACAAAAATACAGCTGTGAATTATTAGTATCATTTAATTATTAGTTGTATTATGTTAATTAATCTTTAAAGCAATTTTCGTACACTATATATATTTTTAGAATATTCTACAAGTATAGTAATGCAGGTATGTTAATCACTGTTTTACAAATAAGAAAACTGAGGCTGTAAATTGCAGGCAAAGAACTTCAAACCGAAGACTTTGATTCTAGTGTTAGGCACTTTTTCGCTATGTTAAGCCGATGTCATATATATTCAAATAAGTGTTAGGTGATTCCTCTATACTTACAGTACACAAACTGCTCATTATTTGTATAAGATAGCAGCTTATCCGTACTGAATGAAAGGTATATATTTTAAAATTAAAGCCTGCTGCGAAAGAATAAATGTGGCATACCAATGTTGTCCTGTTCATTAATCCACAAATACTGCACAGGGAAATTGCTTGAGTCCAGAAAGTAACCTTTCACCTATTTCAAACCCATGTATTATGTGCAGCCCCTGAGTTAGACTTAGGTGTGGAAGGATGAGCAAAACAGACAAGCTCTTTCCCTAAGTCTCTTATCTCACAATATACAAGATAACCAATTTAAAGCGTCAGGAGCAGAAGACAGTGGATTTGAATTGTTTTGCCGTTCACTTCCTTTTGCATTTGTGACAGGGCTAATCAGAGTGCGCATGTCCCTTAGCCAGTGTTTCCTATGGCCATTTCTGTACCCCATTTGAGGAGTCAGAAGTAGTATAAATAATTGCTCCTTTCTCTGGGCACTGTTGAATGAGTACATTCAATTTGTTTTTGTGACCTCAGTTTTTCTGTGGTTCTCACTAACCATCCACTGCTTTTGACATTTGATTTCTATATAGATTTTAATGCCACTTGTCAGGCAGGATAGTAATATGAAGAGAGTGGACTTTGGACCTCTGCTTGTTATTAGACATGTGACCTTGGCACAAAATTTGGCACATAGGAAGCTACAATAAAAGTTGTCTAAATAAATGAAATGCAGAGATTTTCCTTCTTTTCCTTCCTTCCCTTCATTCCCTTCCTTCCCTTCCTTCCCTTCTTCCCTTCCTTCCCTTCCCTTCCCTCCCCTTTCCCTCCCTCCTTCCCTCCTTCCTTTACTCTCTTCCTTTCCTCCTTTTGCCCTCCCTTCCCTTTTACCCTTCCTCCCATCTTCCCTTCTTTCTTTCCTCCCTGCTTCGTTTCCCTCCTTCTCTCTCTTCTTAAAGCTGAATAATAAAAATTAACAATCTATTGTGGGCTCATTTTTTTTTGTCTTTAAGATTGAGATTGTATATTCTCTTCCTTGCCTTTCTCTTCAAAGTTTAAATATTTCTATTGTGTATCCTTAACTAAATTTTTCCTATAGTAAAGATTCTGTTGAGTTGGATTTCTGACTCCTAGTAATATCTGCTCTACACAAAACTTCCCAGTGACTATCATGTGACCAACAGTCACAGTGTGGGGAAGAGTGGATGTGCTAACATTCTCAAAGCTATTAGCCCATGCAAAACCTACATTTGTGATTTTGACCAAAATTAAATCTAGTAGTGATTATAGAAAGATCAATTATCATGCCTATTCTGTAATTAGTGACAACTCCGCTAATCTAAATGCTTTAATTCCCTGAGTTACATTTCTACTAAAAAATCTTGTAACACCATATTCTATGAGGTCAAATTTAGAGAACTGCTAAAGTCTAATGGGCGAGGTGCTTACCCCATGCTCTGTGCTTTCTAATGATAGACCTCTTTTCCACCAAAAGAAATGACACTTTTTCTGCCTGATTTTAGAGCCTTTCTATATGCACCTGTCAGGCTTTCTTTCTCAGATGTGTTTCCCACCACTCTTTCACAGAAACTCCCTTGTGCTGCCAGTCGGCTTACTCCTAACTTTGGTCCAACTTCTCACTTTTGAGATATCCCTTTTCTCTTTTAACCCTGTCTAATTCTTTTCCATACTCCCAGGTTCAGCTGAACACTGAAACTCCGGAGTTCTCCTTGGCCTAATTTATTTCTCATAAAATTCTTCCTTCTGGGAAAAACTGTAATTTTCATGTAAGCTATAGAAAGTGACTGTAAATTATTTTGATATGTTCTTTTCTTATATCCCTACCTAAATTGTGAACTTTGTAATGACAGGCACTTTAAAAATGCTGCTTTTTAAAAATATGTGTTTCAATAATATTTTTAAAGGGTATTTTAAAAAATGGTGTCAATCTGGAGTTTCCGTAAAACATCAAAGAATTATGCTCTTGACATTTTCAAGGTTCTTATTGCCAATCTACACAATAAGGCAAAAAAAACTGGCTTGAATTAGAAACATCTAGATAATTGGCCAACTTAGTATAGACTAAGCCTTGCTACTCAAGTGATTTTGGGACCAGTGGCATAAGCGTCACCTGGGCACCTGCAAGAAATGCAGAATCTCAGGACTGGCCTGAACACTAAAAGAGAATCTGAAGGTTTTTAGGTTTCCCAGATGTTTGCCGGGTGTGGTGGCTCATGCCTATAATCCCAGCATTTTGGGAGGCTGAGGTGGGCAGATCACAATGTCAAGAGATGGAGACCATCCTGGCCAATATAGTGAAACCCCGTCTCTACTAAAAATACAAAAGTTAGCTGGGCATGGTGGTGCACGCCTGTAGGTGGAGGTTGCAGTCAGCCCCGATCGTGCCACTGCACTCCAGCCTGGTGACAGAGTGAGACTCTGTCTCAAAAAAGAAAAAAAAATTCCTAGATGCTTTACGTGTATATGAAAATTAGTGAAGCCAAGAACTAGACTTTGTGTCGAAAATATTAGCTTTACATTACATTTTATTATTTACTACCTAGTTAATCTTGGCCAAGTTCCATATTTTATAGTTGAAAAATGGGGTTAATATAAAGAATATTATAATTTGTAAATGGTAAAGTGGTATACATACACATGTATACATATTTATATGAAATATTTAAACATTATTACTGTTTTTATTGGTTGATTTAAATGAGTAAATTATCAAGACAGACTCTTAAGCTACAGAGTAAAATATGTAAAGACACTATATAATGTTCTCCAAAGACTATCACATTCATGCGGAGCTGTTCTGGGCAATGGTCTTGTCATAGGAACAGTCATAACAAGATACTATGAGATCAACAACTAACTATGCCTTTAAACAATTGTCAAATTTCAGGGTATGTGATTCAATGTATTATTATTAAGTGTCTGTAAAATACACAATTAAACTAACTATAAGGTATTAGTATCAGGCCTAGAAAAAAATATAAACACACAAAAATGTCAAAGTTGCTGTGAAATTTTAAACACTTTATAAATTGCTGAATTAAAATTCCAGTCTTTGTTGAGTAGTCTTTTGCCCCCTTTACTGCTTGTTTGCTGGGGTTGATGAAATGAAGATGTTAAGCTTAGAGTTGTTGATTGGCCAGGGGTTTTAGAAACCTCAGCTCGGGAGAGTGTCCTCAACTCAGGAACATGTCCTCAACAGCAGGAAAGGTTCCGTCTGCATGTGTGTCTGATCGTGGGTAGATCTTCACATATTGGCGATGCGGTATAGGTGCTTCCATCATTCCCAATTTCATTGTATTCTAGTCACACACATTACTGAAGATAACTGGATGTCAGAACTTCAAGCAAGCACTCCTTCTAATATGTGTCAAAAGAATGATTGTTCAGTTAATTTGTACTGTTTGTTTCTTGGCAGTAAATACATTTCATGTTAGATCTTCTTTTGATTTCCTGAAAGCAGATGACATGGGTGAGATTAACCAGACACTTGTGTCAGAATTTCTTCTTCTGGGTCTTTCTGGATACCCAAAGATTGAGATTGTTTACTTTGCTCTCATTCTAGTTATGTACCTAGTGATTCTAATTGGCAATGGTGTTCTAATCATAGCCAGCATCTTTGATTCTCATTTTCACACACCAATGTACTTCTTCCTGGGCAACCTCTCTTTCCTGGATATCTGCTATACATCCTCCTCTGTTCCCTCAACATTGGTGAGCTTAATCTCAAAGAAAAGAAACATTTCCTTCTCTGGATGTGCAGTGCAGATGTTCTTTGGGTTTGCAATGGGGTCAACAGAATGTCTGCTTCTTGGCATGATGGCATTTGATCGTTATGTGGCCATCTGCAACCCACTGAGATACCCCATCATCCTGAGCAAGGTGGCGTATGTATTGATGGCTTCTGTGTCCTGGCTGTCCGGTGGAATAAATTCAGCTGTGCAAACATTACTTGCCATGAGACTGCCTTTCTGTGGGAATAATATTATCAATCATTTCGCATGTGAAATATTAGCTGTCCTCAAGCTGGCCTGTGCTGATATATCCCTCAATATTATCACCATGGTGATATCAAATATGGCCTTCCTGGTTCTTCCACTGATGGTCATTTTTTTCTCCTATATGTTCATCCTCTACACCATCTTGCAAATGAATTCAGCCACAGGAAGACGCAAGGCATTTTCCACGTGCTCAGCTCACCTGACTGTGGTGATCATATTTTACGGTACCATCTTCTTTATGTATGCGAAACCGAAGTCTCAAGACCTGATTGGGGAAGAAAAATTGCAAGCATTAGACAAGCTCATTTCTCTGTTTTATGGGGTAGTGACACCCATGCTGAATCCTATACTCTATAGCTTGAGAAATAAGGATGTAAAAGCTGCTGTAAAATATTTGCTGAACAAAAAACCAATTCACTAATGAAACCAGGACATGTAGGTCTTTGTTTAACAGTCACAAAGATGGACTCTTAGGTAAATCAGCCTGAACCTTTTTTGGAGAAACCATGGTTAGAGAGACAGATTTTTATCCTTTGCCTTTACTAGCCCTGCTCATCTAGAATCACTGATAACTATAGTTTGCTACAAACTCCAGCATGCCCTGATCCACGTTTCACAAACATAATTAATTCTCTTAGAATCTCATCCCTTGTGATGTCTGAAATGAGTGTTTCTGTGTAGAAACATAGTGGAAAACAATCACACTATAAGCTTTGGAAATAGAGAGCAATAGTACAAAATCTGCAGTTCCGTAAACTACCTAGGTGATATTGGATAGATTATTCTTTCTTTCTAAGACATAGTTACCTTACTTGTAATAAGGAAATAAAATAATAAAAAAATCCAGGTCCCAATATCATTTAATGTTTCAATAAGTTGGAGGAAGCACCTAACATAATACTGGCTTCACAGTGTCCAAGAATTTCAGAATTGAAGCTAAGACTCCATAGTGAGGACTAAAAGTTGCTATTTATCCCCTCTTTTACTCTCAGCTAATAATTACTAGAGCCAGATGTCTCACTGAAAGTCACCCCATTAAGGTAATATTTTCTAAAATTTTAAAATTCAATATTTTCTAAAATTCTAAAAAAAATAAAAAAGAATTAAAAAAAGAAAAATTGGCCACCTCCCAAATATATCATTCTAATGTTTCTCTTAGTAAGTAGGAATCATGTATTCATCATGTTTTTATTTTGATTTATTAGATCTACTATGAGCACTTGGGCCAAATTTTTTTTTAATGTCCAACACATGTTTTCACAGGATAAATTCTAAGGCATGAAATTAATAGGCCAGGTGGTATAAACTTTTAAAGTTCCTGGCTAACTTACCATTGGAAAGGTCGTATTACTACCCTAAATACCATTATATGTTTCCCCCAATATGTTTGCAGCTCTATTTAAATACATACGCATACACACATATATCTCCATTTATACATACACACATTTGTGTTTATATATATATAAGAATATTTTTTCTTTAAAACATTTTTTTGAGAATTTTCATTTTCAAATATTTAACAAAAGAATGAGAATAATGAAAGTCAATGTATAATTGCACAGCTTAAATAATTACACATGGTCAACCTTCTTTCATCATTATCCATACCCACTTATCTTCTTCCTTTACTTTAAAGCAAATTCTGGACATAATTACATCATGTTATATATTATGTAATTATGTCCAGGACATCTGTGTGTGTACATATTTAAATGACACAAATCCAACGATCCCCATTCACATTGTAGTCTATGAGAATGCACTTCCAGAACACAAGTTGTGATATGAATGATGCCTCCTCCAATTAAGAATAAGACAGTGCTGGTGAGGACTGTGAACCATGAAAAGGGCACATGAGTCACATAAAAGACGTTATTTCTTACTTCAGTGGGTTGTTGCCATAAGATAATTCAGGATGTATATTGACTGATTTTCTAAATTTCAAGAAAAGCCTGGACATCATAGTGAGACCATGTCTCTACAAAAAATTAAAAATTAAAAATTAATCAGGTATGATGATGCACGGCTATGGTCCCATTTACTTGGGAGGCTGAGATGGGAGGATCACGTGAGCCCAGGAATCCAAGGCTGCAGTGAGCTATGATTGTGCCACTGCACTCCAGCCTGGGTGACAGAGCAAGACCCCATCTCTTAAAAAGAAATTAATACATTTCGAGATAGGCCAGATTTTTAAATTAAGCATTGCAACATTTACCCAGGGTTGGCTATTTTACAGAACACATGTGATTCCAGATTGTGTACTCATGTAAGTCTTTAAGAGAGATACAGGACATGGTCATGATACAGGAGGAAGAAATTTCAGTCCAAAAAGGAGAGTTCTGAAAACTTCAATCATACTTTCCAGGCCACTTTTGAGAAACTGTCTTTTAGAACAATTCAATCAATGTTGAATTCTACACCAAATACATTGTTGTTAACTGCTTATTGCTTAAATAGAGTTTGAGTGTATATTTTGAACCCCAAATGTTGATCTTCCTAGGTTACTGTCATACTGTAGTAGTAACGTCCAAATGTATCTTAGAGTATGCCAAAGAGCTTCTCATAGGCTCCTTTTATAGCTACAATTACTTCTCCTTTCCTCCACTTTTAATTTATTTTACTTAGATTATCTTCCCTGGAGTAGGACTGTTAGGTTCAGCTAGAGAACTGACATAAAGTTGCCAGCAATATAAACCCTTTATCAATTCTGTTATATTGGAGTAGAGTTGGATAACTGCAAGCATATAGGCCTGCTTCATCCACCAGGTAGGAAAGACAGAAACCATTAATCCCACTTTTAAAAGGTGAAAAGAGAGAATGATCCATATTATCATTCTTTTAGGAATATGGGCAGTAGTAATATTTAGATGTATTGTCATGGTGTTGTAGTCAGCAAATAATGTTCTGGAACTCATGAATGCAATGAATGTCCCGCCAACATAGAAGCAGGCAAATAAAAAGAAAAAGTGTTAGAAACAGAAAAGTTTCTGTGAATACCTGTATCATTCCCACTATCTTCTCTATATCTTCTACAATAACTCAGTAATAGATCCATTGGTGGTCTCCATTTAATTCCATGTATAGCAAGTTTTAACACACATTCATTCAGTTGTGAAACACATCCCTTTAGTCCTTGTTACCCTCCAATTTTGTAAGCAGGGGTTTCAGTTGTTCATTTCAATTTTCATTTGTCCATGTTTTTGTGAATGGGAATGGATATAAATCTACTATTTATGATGCTTTGTTACTCAATGTTGAATTTTAGGGTTCTTTAACAAGGTGACCAACATCCAAATTAAAATAATACATTTGCTCTTGGCCTATACTAGTGGTGTTAGTAGTATTTGCTTTATTTGCGAGGTATGCAAACCTAAATCCAGAATAAGTGTCTGTCTCTGTCAGTATTCACTGTTATCCACCTGGAAACCAGATAATGGGCCAGTATAACCCATTTGCCAGCAATGGCTCCTCCTGGATCCTTTCAGTAGCCGACTTACAACTGCCATTCATCTCTGATTCTTCTGCTGAGAAGCAGATCAATTTTTATGTATATTTCCTGCTCTTGAGGGAGACAATGGGATGCATATATTTTCATACTTTGTTGCATTGCTCGAATGCCTCTATGCCCTCTCATCTTATGTCCCCTAGAGGCCACTTCCAAAAAGAGAATAAAGGCTCCCCTTTGTTGATTCTAGTCCTTTTCTGAATTCAGTAGGGAAGTTCTATAATAGATATAGGTAAGTTTCACTCCAATAATCTCTCTTCAGGTTAATAAAATGTCTCACTGCTCACTCCATGTAGGAGTCCTTTATCTTCCAGTCATATGAGGCCTATATTTTCAGACTATTCCATTAGCTATTGTCTAAGAACTGGTAAAAATTCATATGCTATTGTTATTGTCATTATCTGGTTCTTCTGAAGAGTGACTGTTCTGAATTCTCTCTAGGTCAAATACTAACAATGACTTGGGAATAGTATTTCATCACTTTTACCACAGTTTACTCATCTATAGGAAGAAAAGTCTTACTAAGTGATTTTTGCAGAGTTTCTAGCTCTAGACTTCTATAATATTAAAAAAACTCTTGACATATATCTATTCGTATTTAATGTACACACACCACGGTTTGTGGTGTGTGTGTTGGTTGAGAGGGCTATGTTTGTATGTATGTGTTTGTGTCTGTGTGCGTATATAAATACTGTTTTTGCTTTTTAAGTAAATTGTTATTTCTGAGAATTCAAGTATTGTACACGAAATGTGACATCTACTAGAAAATTACAGTGACAATCTAAGTGTTAATATCTAAAATATAGCTTAATAGACTTTGCTAAGACACTTTAATTCAATAATGTCCTTTCTTCCCAATAATACCCCAAACTATCAATTCTGGATTTTTTTTCACTTTTTTGGCCTTAAACATATAGAGTTGCTTTTGTCCCATGGATCTATTTATTTTCTTGCTTATCTGTATTTCTTTTCATTTCAAAAAACTTGAAAATCGCATGCTGCATAAAATTAATTTTTCAAAAAGAATAAAGTAAGCAAACAGTTAATCACAATGCATTTAATTCATAGATACTATCCATTTTATTTCGTTCATAATATCGAGGTCATTTTTAGTAAACATCACTTGAATTATTAATTTCTTACTTTGAATTAACTTTGGTAGATATATTTTAAACTAGGACGCTCTCACATTTCATAAAGTTTGTTTGGTGAACATCTGCCCCTGCTCCTAGAAGTTATGTGGGCAGGAGAGTGTTATTTCATTTGTGAGCTTTAGTTCACCCACAGTCTATTTCCAGCACCCCTCTTAATTGGGTCTGTGGGACACTGTCCCTAACGCACCAGAAGTTTCTCCATTCCACAGATCTCTCACTCCAACTTTAAATTGCTTTGCGAAATGGGGAACAATTACAATAACTGTTGCATAACAAATATGTACTGTTCCACATCTATGGAACCTGACATCTTTTGTTGAACCTGACTTTAATTCATAATGCTGACGTAAATACTAGGAAATAGTACCTGGTTCTTCTAGGAGGGAGACATAATTTATCATTGTAAAGGTAAGTCCTGAATACCATGAAACTGTACCTTTTATATTTATAATTAAAGCTATTATTACATGTGGATTTATGGTGTGAATATCATTAGGCAATACAGCTATCAATGTGGTATTATTATCAAATATGGCTATGATAATAATATTATCATTATTATGATCTGCATAGTGCTGGTTAATCCATAAAGCAGTTTCCATATGCTAGCTGAATTTTTTCTCAAAACAAACCTGTGAGAAAAGTAGGGCAGGTATTTCCATAACTATTTAACAAATGAAAAACGAGTTACATATTAGAAGAAAAAATAACCTCAAAACTAGGATTTTTGTTTCTGAATCCCAAGCACTTTTTAACTAGGCTAACCCCATGCCATATCTGTTCAAGTGTGAATTAGGTGATGCCTTTATACTGGCAGTGCATAAACCAGTTAATCTCTTTATAAGTTGGCAGCTTATTAGTACTGACAGAAAGATATATTTTCTGTTTTTTTTTTAACAGATTACTTGCTGCAAATAAACACTTTGTGCATATTAAAGTTCTGAACATTAATCTGTAAATACTGCACAGGGAAATTGCCTAAGAGCCTAGAAAAACCCATCTATTATGTGTAGCCACCGTGTTAGGCCATAGGTGTAGAGGAATGGGCAAGACAAGCAAGCTCCTTCCCCATGTCTCGTGTTATCTCACAATACATGAGAGAACCAATTTAAAGAGCTGGGATAAGAAGAAAACCAAGGGTAGCAAGACAGGCTTGGCTTAAGGTGGATTGAATTGGTGAGATAATTTCTTCCTAGGAGGGGAAGGCTTGGAGCAGATGGCAGAAGAAGCTGTTTAGGTAGCCTAAAATGCATTGTCATTACATTTGTCTGGAAGGCAAAGCCTGGGCTGGAGATCTAGGCGGGATCTGGCACATCATCACCACCTTTCCTGGTAAGTTATTATCTTTCTGTTTTCTTCCGTTTGCTTTCATGACTGGGCTGCTAGCGTGTTGATGTTACTTATCCAATGCATCCTCAAAGGATTTCTGTAGCCTGCTTGAGAGAGAATTTTGACCTATGCTACGAAGTACTGTAGAAAGGTTTCACAGCAAATAGACTGTTCTAAGGCATATGATTCAATCCCACAACCGTGAACCTTCTTCCATGATGAGAAGTACTAAGTCCTCAAGAATTAATCATTCTCCTTGTACATTTTTAACAGACTAAAGTTTCACCTTTATGAACTCCATTTATTATGTTACTCACTGACTGTTCTCTGTTGTTGACACATGATTTCTATACAGATTTTAATGCTACCTTTTAGAGAGAGAAGTAGTGGAAGGAGAATGGGCTTTGGATTTTGCCTTTGCCTGTGCTAGTCATGTGACCTCAGCCAGGTAAGCAAATTTCAAGCACAGGATCTGGCACATAGAAGTCTGCAATAGAAGTTGTTTAAGTGATTTTATTCACTTAAATAAACAAAAAGCATTTGTTTTTTTTTTCAATAGGTACTTCTAGTCTTAAGCTGAGGAAATATAGATTTAAAATTTCTTTGAGGCTTAATTTTCTCATCTCTAATTTGGAGATCCAACATTTATTTGTGCTTCTCTTAAAAGTTCAGATGTTCTACTGGTATTCTTTAAACTGTTTCTGAAGTGAGAATCCCTCTGTCTGGTTTGGCTTCTGACTCCAAGACATCACACACTGTAGAGAAATTTTTCACTTATCATCACATAACAAACTGAATGTTAGAGTAGGGGTTGAGCCTCTGCAGATATTCTCAAAACTGTTAGCCCACGTGAGCCCTAAACCTGCAATTTTGGTTAACCTAAAAACTGGAGGTTATGAAAAGATGATGATGGGCTGTGTGTGTGTATGTGTGTACCAGGCAGTAATTGATAATAACCTAATTAATCTAAGCATCTTAATTCCTTGTGTCACATGTCTATTCAAAACCTCATAAAATCAAATTATATAATGTCAGGTTTGAAAGGTAGCTAAAGTTACAGGGGCTAAGCAATCACCTTGTGCTGGGTGTTCTTATCTAATAATAAGTCCCTTACATACAAAAGGGAATGCCATTTTTTTTCTTCCTAACCTTTGGGCCCTTCTATATGCCTGCCTCATTAACTTTTCAGTTGTGTTTCTGCTGAAACTCCCCTGGTACTGCCAATCTGCTCCTCTAAAACATTAAGCTGCTCTCCCTTCTGGAATAGCCCTGTTTCTCTCTTCTCTTCCAAACCTGCCCCATTCCTTTTGTGCTTCCAGACCTGGTATAACTTTGAAATTCTTTCAGGACCCTCACGTGATTTATTTATTTCTCCTTTACTTCCTCCTTCTGAGGTTACTTATAATATTCACCCTGGCCACATGATATAATAATATTCTTTATCAAATTGTTCCATGTGTAGTTTTTGTGTTTTTGTTATTGAATTATGAACTTTTTGATGGTAGACATGTTGTGTCATACTTTTTCCACCCTTACTTGTGTTGGAAGAGGACTGTGCTCAAGTTAGGAAATCAGTAATATCATACCCATATTATAGCAGTCCAGCAAAAGTTTATCCTGCTTTCATAAAATGTTTCAATAGCATTTATTTTCTGAAGTATACTGAACAGCAAGATGTGGCCCTGGAGTATGCTGGCAAACACAAAAGAATTAGGCTTTCAGTCATTTTCCAGGTTGTTAAGCCAGTCCATATAATAACACAAAAGAAAATCTATTTGGATCAGAAATCTCTGGATACTCTACTAAATCACTATAGATAAACCAATGTCTTGCTACACAAAATGTGCCCTCATCTCAGTGGTTCAACATACCCTGGGAACTTAATAGACATGAAGAATCACAGGCCTTGCCCCAGACGTGCTAACATAAAATTTACATGTTAACAGTATCCTCAGGTGATTTATGTGCATATGAAATTTGAAAAATTGAAATTCCATCAAAGCTAAAAATTTTGGATAGTACTTTGCGAAAACAAGGTAAAATAACTTTTGGTGTTGCCATCCAAAGAGCTGAGCTTTAAGTTTCCCTTTGTACATATAGGCCACATTCTGTCTTTTACATTTGAGAAAAGCAAATTAAGGATAATGAGAAGATTCATTTGCTTTTGTAAAGTGCTGCACACACATACACACAAATATGTTTGACTATTATTCCTCTTTTTTCAGGTTTACTTAAATGAATTCTCAAGATTAACTCTGAAGCCATGGTAAAACAAATAGAGATCATGTATTGTTCTCCAAAGATTCTCCATCATATACTTGTAGAGCTGGTCTACACCATGATCTTGTCATAGGGAATAACAAAATAGTAAGAGTGGGATGTTAGAATGAGATCAACAAATAACTTTACCTTTGAACAGATGTTAAATTGCAGTGTGTGGGGCTCAATTTACTATTATCAAATATCTTCCCTATAAAAATACACATTTATCTGACTGGAAAGACATTCAGAGTTTTAGGCAGACAAACAAATGTATGTGAACATCTAACCTGCTTTAAAATTCTGAACATTTCTATTAAACGCTGGGTCAAAATTCTGGTTCTTGTTGAGTTGTCTTTTTTCTTCTTTGCAGCTCTCTCACTGGGCTTGACTAAATGAAGAAGTTAGGTTTGTTGTCTGCAATAATCTAAGGCTTTTAGAAAACTCAACTTGGGATGTCCTCAACAATAAGAAAAGTTGTGTCTGTATTTACTTCTGATCCTAGGTAGATCTTCACATATTAGATACAGGGCATAGAAACTCTAAACATCCTAGTGTGGCTGTATTCTAGGCACAAATACTATTGAAGATAACTCAATGGCAGAGCTTTAAAACAAACAGTCTCTATTTCACCCTAGAGTAATGTTTATTCAAGTTATTTTTTACATTTGTTGCTTGGCTGTGAAAATATTATACATTGGGTCTTCCTTTGGCATCCTGAAAGCTGGGACATGGACAAGATAAACCAGACATTTGTGAGAGAATTCATTCTTCTGGGACTCTCTGGTTACCCCAAACTTGAGATCATTTTCTTTGCTCTGATTCTAGTTATGTACGTAGTGATTCTAATTGGCAATGGTGTTCTGATCATAGCAAGCATCTTGGATTCTCGTCTTCACATGCCCATGTACTTCTTCCTGGGCAACCTCTCTTTCCTGGATATCTGCTATACAACCTCCTCCATTCCCTCAACACTGGTGAGCTTAATCTCAAAGAAAAGAAACATTTCCTTCTCTGGATGTGCAGTGCAGATGTTCTTTGGGTTTGCAATGGGGTCAACAGAATGTTTCCTCCTTGGCATGATGGCATTTGATCGTTATGTGGCCATCTGTAACCCTCTGAGATACCCCATCATCATGAACAAGGTGGTGTATGTACTGCTGACTTCTGTATCATGGCTTTCTGGTGGAATCAATTCAACTGTGCAAACATCACTTGCCATGCGATGGCCTTTCTGTGGGAACAATATTATTAATCATTTCTTATGCGAGATCTTAGCTGTCCTAAAATTAGCTTGTTCTGATATATCTGTCAATATTGTTACCCTAGCAGTGTCAAATATTGCTTTCCTAGTTCTTCCTCTGCTCGTGATTTTTTTCTCCTATATGTTCATCCTCTACACCATCTTGCGAACGAACTCGGCCACAGGAAGACACAAGGCATTTTCTACATGCTCAGCTCACCTGACTGTGGTGATCATATTTTATGGTACCATCTTCTTTATGTATGCAAAACCTAAGTCCCAGGACCTCCTTGGGAAAGACAACTTGCAAGCTACAGAGGGGCTTGTTTCCATGTTTTATGGGGTTGTGACCCCCATGTTAAACCCCATAATCTATAGCTTGAGAAATAAAGATGTAAAAGCTGCTATAAAATATTTGCTGAGCAGGAAAGCTATTAACCAGTAAGATCAAAGGGATATATGGGTCTTTTATGTATAATTAGCTTGCCTTAGCCATTTGACAATGTACATATGATATGGTTTGGCTGTGTCCCCATCCAATTCTTGAATTGTAGCTCCTATAGTCCCCATATGTTGTAGGATTGACCTGGTGGGAGGTAACTGAACCATGGGAGTGGGTTTTTCACATGCTGCTCTCGTGATAGTGAATAAATTTCATGAGAACTGATGGTTTCATTAAAAGCACAGTTCCCTTGTACCTGCTTTCTTGCCTGCCACCATGTAAAATGTGCCTTTGCTTCTCCTTCACCACCCACCATGATTGTGAGGCCTCCTAGGCATGTGGAACTGTGAGTCCATTAAACCTGCTTTTCTTTATAAATTACCCAGTCTTGGGTATTTCTTCATAGCAGTATGAAAATGGACTAATAGAGTAAATTGGTAACAGGTAGTGGGGTGCTGCTATAAGGATACCTGAAAATGTGGAAGTGACTTTGGAACTAGGTAATAAGCAGAGGTGGAACAGTTTGGAGAGCTCAGAAAAAGATAGGAAAGTGTGGGAAAGTTTGGAACTTCCTAGAGACTTGCTGAATGGCTTTGACCAAAATGCTGATAGTGATATAGACAGTAAAGTTTAGGCTGAAGTGGTCTCAGATGGAGATGAAGAACTTGTTGGGAACTTGAGCAAAGGTGACTCTTGTTATGCTTTAGCAAAGAAACTGGTGGCATTTTGCTTCTGCTCTAGAGATCTGTGGTACTTTGAACTTCAGAGAGATGATTTAGGGTATCTGGCAGAAGAAATTTATAAGTAGGTAAAGGATTCAAGAGGAAGCAGAGCATAAAAGTTTGGAAAATTTGCAGCCTGACAATGCGATAGAAAAGAAAAACCTATTTTTTGAGGAGAAATTCAAGCCTGCTACAGAAATTTGCATAAGTAATGAGGAGCCAAATGTTATTGCCAAGACAGTGGGGAAAAAGTCTCCAGGGCATATCAGAGACCTTCCTGGCAGCCCCTCCCATCACGGGACTGGAGACCTAGGAGGAAAAAATGGTTTCCTGAGCCAGGCTCAGGGCCACCCTGCTGTGTGCAGCCTAAAGACTTGTTGCCCTGTGTCCCAGCTGCTCTAGTCATGGCTAAAAGGGGCCAGGGTAAAGCTTGGGCTATGGCTTCAGTGGGTGCAAGCCCCAAGCCTTGGCAGCTTCCACATATTGTTGAGCCTGCAGGTGCACAGAAGTGAAGAATGGTTTGGGAACTTCTGCCTAGATTTCAGATTTATGGAAACATCTGGATGTCCAGGCAGAAGTTTGCTGCAGGGGCAGGGCCCCCATGGAGAACCTCTGCTAGGACAGCACAGAAGGGAAATGTGGGGTTGGAGGCCCCGCACAAAGTCCCCACTGGGGCACTGCCTAGTTGAGGTGTGAGAAGAGGGCCATTGTCCTCCAGAACTCAGAATGGTAGATCCACCAACATCTTGCACCATGCATCTAGAAAAGCCAGCCTGTAAAAGCAACCGAGAGGGAGGCTGTGCCCTGCAAAGCCACAGTGGTGGAGCTGCCCAAGGCCATGAGAGCCCACCTCTTGCATCAGTGTGACCTGGACATGGAGTCAAAGGAGATCGTTTTAGAACTTCAAGGTTTAATGACTACCCTATTGGATTTGGACTTCATGGAGCTTGTAGCCCTTTGTTTTAGTCAATTTCTTCCATTTGGAATGGGTGTATTTACCCAGTGCCTATATGCGCTTTGTATCTATGAAGTAACTAACTTGCTTTTGGTTTTACAGGCTCATAGGCAGAAGGGACTTGCCTTGTCTCAGATGAGACTTTGGACCATGGACTTTTAAGTTAATGCTGAAATGAGTTAAGACTTTGGGGGACTGTTGGGAAGGCATGATTGGTTTTGAAATGTGAGGACATGAGATTTGGAAGGGGCTGGGGCAGAATGATAGGGTCTGGCTGTGTCCCCACCCAAATCTCATCTTGCTCCTCCTCTGACGTCTGCCATTATTGTGAGGCCTCCACAGCCATGTGGAACTGTGAGTTCATTAAACCTCTTTTTCTTTATAAATTACCCAGTCTCAGGTATTTCTTCATATCAGTATGAAAATGGACTAATACAATACTTGTATTAAAAGATCATCTTGTGTACCATAAATATGTACAATTTTTGTCATTTAAAATTAAAAGAAGCAGCATAGAAATGGCATTATTGTGCAACTATTGAGGACTTTATCTGAGAAAAGCAAAATTATGAGGAGAGATTTTTATTCTTTGCCTTCACTACCTTTGATCATCTAGAATCACTGAGGACAGTAATCTGCTGTTACTGAAATTCTAACAGTAAACAGATTCGAATGGGTTCTGACCCAGATCTCGTGAAGACAATAAATTCCTTCAGTTATTTTCTCTGGCAATATCCAAAACAAGTATATCTGGTGTATTTGTGGCAACACAGTAGAAAACACCAAACAAAAGCTTTGAAAATAGATGGGAGGAGTATAAATTCAAAACTACTTTAGTAGTATCAGGCAGGTTTATTCATGTTTTTAAAACTGTAGTTTCCTTATTTCCAAAAAGGGAGTAAATAAACCCTGCTCCCAGTGTTATTGTAAAGATTCAGTAAGTTGCACAAAATACCTGACATAATGTGCCAAGTTCATTGTAGTTTCCTTTGTAGAGAACGTTGAGATTGACTTTTCCTATGAGTCCCAACTGAGGAACTGAAGTAAGGACTCCAAAGTGAAGACAAAGGATACTAGCTAGCACATCTTATTTTTGTAAGCCACCAATTATTTGGGTCCATATATCTTTCATAAATCTTCCTACCATTGTCAATCACCACACCTGCTTGCTCATTCTCCCACATATTTGTATAAAGAAAACATCTGAATCCTGTGGAAGACTGGAAACACTGTTCTAATCTAAGTCAAGTAAGAAGGTACTGCAAAAAAGCGAGTAAGAAGGTACTGCAAAAAAAACTCTTGAGGTTTTGGGTGCCTGCAAAGGAAGAGAAGCTGACATCTGGCTTGGTGAATGGGGCTTGCTGAGCTTTCCCTCTCTAGGCTGTAGATAACAGAGGAACAGGTCAACAGGTCTAGAAGGGGGCTGGAGGATGAGTATTTTACGCTGAAAATAACCAGAAGCGTTTGGGACATCAACAAGATAAACCAGACATTTTTGAGACAATTCATTCTCCAAAAAGGCTGAAATTAGTGACTGTTATAGGAAAAGTATTTCATTTTACATTCCAGTGAGTTTAAACTCTTCAGTAAACCTATTACAATCCTTTTTGTTTCTTTTTCTGTGGATTCTTCTGACATGGCCAAGCACAGCATATCCTTGCTGCACATCACCAGTCGTTTTTACAGCTGCTTTTAGCCTTAATTTCCTATGTAAATTTCCTTTTTCTGTTGGTTTTAGAGCCATGACATGACCCCCGTCCTCCTACATGGGGGGTTTATGCCCAGCCAATCCACTTTCTTGGTTTAGGCTTAGATGATCTAGTCACTGAAGTCCTGCTGCACTCCTACTATCCTACCAGGAAGCATGGGCTGTACAATAAACCTCTAGCTGTGGATCCCTCCTTTTACTTAACTTGAATCACACTGGATGCTGGTTTTGGTTCGATTAGGACAAGTGTGCACCACACTCTGTGGGTGAGGCTTTTTAACTTCTGCCCACTCCCACTGGGATGAGCCCTATGTGTCATTCTGACCCTAGTTTAGCTTTTTCCCAACTTTGACTTATGGCACTCAGCTTTTAGGAACATGTCAGTATGACAAGGTCCTGCTTCTGTTGTCTCTTAAGCATTTTATTTTATTTTTTTCCATAAGGGGAAGAGGGCCAGCATCTCATACCTGTGTTTATATCAGATTGAATTATTTATTTATAAAAGTTGATACAAATGCTTTCCACTGCTTTACAAAAAGTTGGTACAATATTGTTCCAGTTTAGACAAGTTCTATTCATGTTGATGAATGCTCAGAAAATTAAGTTTTAAAACTAATCTGTCCTCCCAGAAAATTGAGAAATCTCAAAAGATTATTACATGTATGACTTTGTGACGAATAATAAATATTTTAGAAAATTTTAAAAATTGTGGAGAAGTATAAAAAAGTAAAAAATGTTATCACTATTGCTACCTCCTATAGCAAACAACTGTTAAAATTTTATTATTTCTCTCACTAATTTGGAGTCATAAAATTAATCACTTTTTGTTATGTACTATGAACAACTGGAATTACTACTTGGAAAGTATTTTTTAAATGTATGTGCAACTTTTTAGGTTTTTACAGAATAAATTATAGAAAATTAAATTATTATGAGAAGTGATATAAATTTTTAACTTCTCTTGTTAAATTATATCCCCTCCCCTAAATTATATCATGCTTTGTTAATGATACTCTAAGGGCTTCCCCATATTGTTACAGCTCTGGTGTGTGTGTGTGTGTGTGTGTATAAACATTTAATTTTGGAAAATTTTAGTTAAAAGAAAAATAATTTTTTAATTAAACCTCGTGTGCCACTTATCTTTAATTAGGAGCTCATTGTTTTATTATTATCTGTACTTAGTTATCCCTTTTCTCCAGATTATTTTAAGCAAGTACTGGGAAAAATGTCTTTTATTTTGAAATAATTTTAGACTTATAGGAAGTTTCAAGAATCACAAAAGAATTTCCTTTAATCCTTCACCCAGAATCTTTAGATATTAACATCTTACCACGCTTGTTTTACCCTTTCTTTCTCTTTATATATACATGTATGTGTGTATATTATATTTATTTATATACAGCTATTTGACAGTAAGTTGTAGATACTATGTCTCTTTACTCCGTAGTATTTTACTCTGTCTTCTTAGCATCAAAGACATTCTTTTACCATAACCATAATACAATTATCATCATTCAGTTACAATACTATTATTGAATTTAATGGTCAGTAAATAATAACTTTTGGCAAAATCTAGCCCACTACCTGTATTTTCGTGTCCCCCAAACTAAGAATTATGTCTACATTTTTAAACTGTTGAAAAGAATTTTCAGCCTTTTTGCACTGGTTTCTCCCCATCTTTGTGTATTTATCTACCTTTGGTCTTTGATGTTGGTGACCTTCGGATGGGGTCTCTGAGTGGATGTGCTATTCCTTTCTGTTTGTTAGTTTTCCTTCCAACAGTCAAGCCCCTCTGCTGCAGGTCTGCTGGAGTTTGCTGAAGGTCCACCCCAGACCCTGTTTGCCTGGGTATCACCAGCGGAGGCTGCAGAACAGCAAAGATTGCTGCCTGTTCTTTCCTCTGGAAGCTTTGTCTCAGAGGGGCACCTGCCAGATACTAGCCAGAGCTCTCCGGTATGAGGTGTCTGTCAGCCCCTCCTGGGAGGTGTCTCCCAATCAGGATACATGGGGGTCATGGACCCACTTGAGGAGGCAGTCTGACCCTTAGCTGAGCTCGAACAGCATGCTGGGAGATCTGCTGCTCTCTTCAGAGCCATCAGGCAGGGACGTTTAAGTCTGCTGAAGCTGTGCCCACAGCCGCCCCTTCCCCCAGGTGCTCTGTCTCAGGGAGATGGGGGTTTTATCTATAGGTCCTTGACTGGGGCTGCTGCCTTTTTTTCAGAGATGCCCTGCCCAGAGAGGAGAAAACTAGAGAGACAGTCGGGCCATAGCGGCCTTGCTGAGCTGTGGTGGGCTCTGCCCAGTTCGAACTTCCCAGCAGCTTTCTTTACACTATGAGGGTCAAACCGCCTACTCAAGCCTCAGCAATGGCGGACGCCCCTCCCCCAACCAAACTGGAGCGTCCCAGGTCGATTTCAGACTGCTGCTGTGCTGGCAGCGAGAATTTCAAGCCAGTGGATCTTAGTTTGCTGGGCTCCATGGGAGTGGGACCTGCCAGGCCAGACCACTTGGTTCCCTGGCTTCAGCCCCCTTTCCAGGGGAGTGAACAGTTCTGTCTCGCTGGCATTCCAGGTGCCACAGGGGTCTAGAAAGAAAAAAAAAAACTCCTGCAGCTAGTTTGGTGTCTGCCTGAATGGCCTCCCAGTTTTGTGCTTGAAACCCAGGGCCCTGGTGGCACAGGTATTGGAGGGAATCTCCTGGTCTGTGGTTTGCAAAGACTGTGGGAAAAGCCCAGTGTCTGGGCTGGAGTGCACCGTTCCTCAGGCTCAGTCCCTTACAGCTTCCCTTGGGTAGGGGAGAGAATTCTCTGACCCCTTGTGCTTCCTGGGTGAGACAATGCCCCACCCTGCTTCGGCTCGCCCTCGGTGGGCTGCACCCACTGTCCAACCAGTCCCAATGAGATGAACTGGGTACCTCAGTTGTAAATGCAGAAATGACCTGCCTTCTGTGTCGATCTCGCTGGGAGCTGCAGACTGGAGCTGTTCCTATTCGGCCATCTTGAAAAGAAAGAACTTGAGCATCCATAAAGTTATTAAAATTTTTTATTTGGAAATAACTATAGAATCAAAGTAAATAATATATAGAGTATCATGTACCCCTCATCAGCTTCCTCTAATTATGACATTTTGTGTTATGGTAGCATAATATCAAAACCACAACGTTGTCATTGGTTCAATACTATTAACAAGACTGTAGAATTTGTTCAGTTTTCACTGTTTTTTCATGTATTCATGTGTCGCTGTGTGTGTGTGTAGTTCTATGCAATTTTATTCCATGTATAGATTCTTGTAACCACCACCATAATCAAAACATGTGACTGATCAGTCACTACCAAGGAACTCCCTCTTGCTACCCTGTGATGTTTTACTTCATGTGTCAACTTTGTTAGGCCACGGTACCCAGTTGTTTGGTCAAATACCAATCTAGATGTTAATGTGAAGGTAGTTTTAGATGTGATTAACATTTCAATCAATACCTTTTGAGTAAAGCAGATTACCTTATGTAATGTGGGTGGACCTCATTCAATCGGCTGTCAACATTAAAAAACTGAGTTCCCCAGAAAAGAAAGGAATTCTGCCTCCATAGTGTCTTCATTCAGACTCGAGCCTACAACAACTCCTGCCAGAATTTCTTGCCTGCCCTGCAGATCTCAGATGTGGCATCCCCAATATTGCATGAGTCAATTCCTTAAAATAATTTTTTTGCTTGTGCTCTCACGCTCGCTCTCTCTCTCTCTCTCTCTCTCTCTCACACACACACACAGCTCTGTACAAGGGATTTGTTCTCTTCTTTCTTGCCTATTAAACTTTCTGCTCCTTAACCCGCTCCATGTGTGTGAGTCCATGTCCTTAATCTGTGTGACATGAGATGACGAACCACAGGTATTTCCCCAGACAACGAAACTACTTCAGTGATTTTCTAACTCCATCATTTCTTTTACATTTATCCTACTGCTATCTGACAGTTCATAGGTATCTAATAAATGCTCTGGATAGTCAGTGAAGATATTCCACTTTGGTTGCTTGAATGTCTCCCAAATGTCTCCCAAGCCTTTGCGAGCTTTGGGAATAGTTGGGCTTGTACTCTCTATTCTTCTTTGCTTGGACCCATGAAGCTTCAGCATTCTGCACGTGTGGCTTAGTATTTAGCAACAGCTACAACGGAACCCTTTTGGTGGTCTCTGGAGCTTTTTCTTTGCCAAGGCTTTTTTACTTCCAGAACTCTTCACTGAAAACTCTAGTTGTCTAGTCTCCTGAATTTTATTCTGATCCTTTTCAATCTAGTGAGACCACTGTGATCTTTTTGGGATCCTTTTCCATGAACCAGAGTCTAACAAGTAATCATAAGGTTCTCTTAATTTTAGTTTTCTTTCCCCCAAAGTCACAGTTTTGCCTTGATTGTTCAATTTTTAAAAACTATTATTTCATTTATTTTGTCCAATTTTCTAATAGTTCATGATCGAGGGTAAAACTGGTCTTAGCTAGTTTATTATTGCCAGAAGCAGACGTTCCCTGTAGCTTTTCTGATTGTATCATTTTTATTTTGTCAGAACATATAGCATTCATATATTATACTTGCATCCTCATTCCCAGCTTTATTTTCTTAGATCTATAATTAAATTTATTAAATGCTTTCCACTTAGCTTTTTGCCCAAGTTTCTTTATCTTTTTTTGTTTGAGTATTTTCTCATCAACTCCACAAAGGGATTGTGAGTATAGCATTCCTTGGATCTTGCACTTTTAAACATATTTTAATAGCATTGATATTTGAAGGACAATTTGAATGGATAAAATTTTTTGGTATGTGTTTTCTGAGTGTTTTGAAAATGCACTACATTGTATGATTATTTTGAGAAGTCTGATGCTGAATTAAGACTTTTTCCCTTGTAAAGTATTAATCTTTTTAGTTTAAAAACTTGAAGATTTTTTGTTTTTATCTTCAAACCTTAATAGTTTTACTGGGCTATGTCTTAGGATTGATTAAGCTGTGTAAATTTTTCTAGGAATCTGGTGAATGCTTTCAGCATTTCTATATTTACAGAAATTTTTTCTAAACTTGTTTTAAATACTAATTCTATTCTATTGTTTTATTTTCTGTTTTAGAGATTCAAATTTTACATACTTGTAAAAGAAACGATATTTCTTCTTTGCCTGTGTTTCATTTCAACTACGTGTGAATAGATTTTCTTGAACTTTGTTTTGTTGATTGCTTTACTGCCTTTATTCAAGGCCCTTATTACATTTCATTTTAATCTATTGTTACCTTGGCTATGTTTATTTTAGTCTTCATTTCCAAAATCAGTTTTTTCTTTTCTTTCTTTTCTGAGTTCAATCAAATATCTTTTCATTTCTTCCTGGTGTGTTATTATGTCCCTTTCTGTAAATTTTTGAATTTCTGATTCAATGTGGTTTTAAACTCCCCTGAAGTGCTTAAGGATATATATATAATATATATATGGATATATATATATTATATATGGATATATATATTTATATATGTGTATATATATTATATATTTATATATTATATATATTTATATATTTATATATTTATATTTATATATTTATATATATCAGTTTGTAATGTTGTGTTACCATTTTTATTTACTTCTTGTGTATTTTTACTTTTGATGGGCAGGGGCAGAGATTTCCATCAGCTAAGGGGTTTTGATTCTCATTTTCTATTTCATTTTATAGTAGTTTTGAATATAGCCTAGTTTAATCTATTCATTTCATTATTTTGGATAGTTTATAACATTTTTAGGTCACAAGTGCCCCTCATCTGTCTGTGATGTACGGTAAAATTTCATTACATGACTGCTTTGCTTCTTTATAGCGTTAGCTTACTAAAGCCAATTTTACTCTTTGTCCTGAAAGCTCTTTGTTTCTCCTCCTCCTGCATTTTTATATTGCCTGGCTACATGAGGAGGAATTGTATGCTTTCTGATATTTTAGTCTTTTTCTTTTGCAGGATCCAAATTTTTCTTTTTTTCTTTCTTTTTTTTTTTTAACTTCAAGATCTCCAAAGGTTCCTCTCCCTTCCTTTTCACTTAACTTTTACCCAAGAAGCCATGGCTTTCAAAGATAGCTACCTCAAGTCATACATACCTGTGTTAAGGGCTCTGTCCTTGGTTTTAGATCAATCTTAAGTCTGCCTGCTTCTATTCCCTTCTGTCTTTCCATGAAAATCTTTGCTCACTGGGAGCATGAGGTGGGTTAGGATTTGGTGTTAAATTTTGTGTTTACAGGTAACTTGAAGTTTAGATATTTTCTTATTTCTAGTTATGTCTACTATGTGGGTTTGGAGAGTTTTATTTTTTCTTCTGTTATATTCTGTATTTTTGGAAGATATGTAGGGAGGTGTGGATTTAAGCAGCTGCCATTATCATCAACTACTCATAAGTGTATATGCATTTTTAAAATGTTGACCATTTAATAGATTGAAAATAACATCTCATTTCTGAATTTGTTAACTTTTATTTGCATAGAAGTGAAATTGAACATGTTTGTGTATTCATTTGCTAGTCTGTGTTCTTAGTTTATAATTTATATTTATTATTTATCCATTTTCTACTTTGGTTTCAATGGAAATTTGGACAAAGTAAATACATTAAAAATTCCATTCGCTTTTAAAAATTCTTTATATATTGAGGTTATCATTAGTTCATGTATATAGTAGTTTTTTTAATTTTTAAAGATCTTTGATTGCTTTTCATATTTTGTATTTATAATGTTAGCATTATTTTTTCATGATAATTTTTAAGCAACTGCTGCTTACAGAGAAACCATTAATTATTACATATTTTTATGTTACTAGGTAACTAAACATTTTTACAATTCCAATAGATTTCTTGGTTGATTCTCCTCCATTTTCTTTAAAAAATTGGATATTAGTATTGGTAACTTTCTCTTTTATTCCAATATTTATAACATTAAATGTGTATTTCTATTTGCATGCATTGGATTATCCATAACAATTAATGTTAAATAATAATGGTATTAGAAGCTATCCTTGTCTTAAACCTAACTTTCACAGGAATGTGTTTTAAAATGGAGTGTGATATGACTCGTGGTTTGAAAGTATATTTCTTTCTTACATTGAAATTTTATTTTATTTATAATTTCAACTTTTATTTTAGACTCAGGGGGTATATGTGGGGGGTACATGTGAGGGTTTGGGGTATGATTGATCCCATCACCCAGGTAGTGAGCATAGTACCCAACAGTTAGTTTTTCAACCCTTGTGCCTCTTTTTCCTGCCCCCCTCTATTACTTCCAGTGTTTATTCTTGCCATCTTTATGTCCATGAGTACCCAAAGTTTAGCTCCCACTTATAAGTGAGAACATGTACTATTTGGCTTTCTGTTCCTGCATTATTTTGTTTAGCTTAATGGCCTGCAGCTGCATCCATGTCCCTGCAAATCACATGAGTGCATTCTTTTTTATGGCAGTGTAGTATCCCATAATGTATATGTACCACATTTTCTTTATCAGTCTCCCAGGGATGGGCACCTAGGTTGACTCCATGTCTTTGCTGTTATTAATAGTGCTGCAATGAACATGGGAGTTCACGTGTGTCTTTTTGGTAGAACGATTTATTTTCCTTTGGGTTATATCCAGTAATGGGGATTGCTGGGTCAAAGAGTGGCTCTGTTTTAAGTTCTTTAAGAAATCTTCAAACTGCTTTCCACAGTGGCTGAACTAATTTAAGTCCCCACACGAATGTATAAGTGTTCCCTTTTCTCTGCAGCCTTGACAGCATCTGTTGTTTTCTGACTATAGCCATTCTGACTGGTGTGGGATTGTATCTCATTGTGGTTTTGATTTGCATTTCTCTGATGTTTAGTGATATTGAGCGTTTTTTTAATGTTCATTGGCAACATGTATGTCCTTTTTTGAGAAGCATCTGTTCATATCGCTTGTCTATTTTTAATGGGGTTATTTGACTTTTTCTTGTAAATTTGTTTAAGTTCCTGATAGATTCTGGATATTAGACCGTTGTCAAATGCACAGTTTGCAAATATTTTCTCCCATTCTGTAGGTTGTCTGTTTACTCTGTTGATAGTTTCTTTTGCTGTGCAGAAGCTCTTTAGTTTAATTATGTCCCACTTAATCAATTTTTGTTTTGTTGCAATTGCTTTCAAGTGCTTAGTCATAAATTCTTTTACAAGGCCAGTGTCCGGAATGGCGTTTGCTTCAAGGTTTCTTATAGTTGGAGGTCTTACATTTTATTTTTTCAAAGATCCTCCATTGCAACAGGATTTTCAAATTAATTAATACACACTGTATTTATAACATTTTCTCATTCTAAAAATTATATCTTTATATGTCATTCTACTGCTTGTATTGCTCACAATTTAACACATTTCTATTTTTTCTTTTTATTTTAAATGAGCTAACTAAAATTTCATTTACTGTTAATTTTTTACGAATTCACCTGAGTTAAATTTTTTGTTTTCTAATATCTGCTTTTGGTTCATTTGACAAATATTTATTTAAGGTACTTTTAAAATCTTCAGCACTGTTGAAGAAACTGGGGATTCAGGATAGTATAGAAATGGAAAGGTTGGTGTTCTCTTGAGACTTACAGTTTACAAATGGAAACACAAAATACCTAAATAAATAAATAATAGCTGATATAACTTCACACATGTGGTAGTTCCATAAAAAAAACTGAATCAAAGTGTATTGAGCCAATGCCATTTTAAAATAGAAGCCTTTGTTGTTATTAATTTCTTTCTTACCTTAGTTTATTTGTATACCTTTTATAAAAGAATTAGTTGGCTAATATACATGATATATTATATGTATATTATACATATGTTTTCTTTTATAACTTTTAAATAATTAATTTATTTAAAATTGCTAGTCCAGCAAGGAGATATCTTCAAGTTCAATTGCATGACAGCCTGAAAGATTATTCCTGAAGATGTTTAGAAGGAGGAAGTGTGTGCTATGCTACCTGGATTCATACCTCAGCATTTCCCCATCTCTATCAAGAGAATACGGGGATGCCAACCCCCAACTCCATGCAGTCTAAAATCTGTGTATAACTTTTGGCTTCCCCAAAACTTAACTACTAGTAGCCTGCTGTTGATTGGAAGCCTTACTGATAACAGAAATACTTGACTAACATATATTCTGTATGTTATATGGATGATAGACTACATTTCTGCAATAAATTAAGCTAGAGAAAAGAAAATGTTTTTAAGAAAATCATAAGGTAAAGAAAATGTTATTAAGATAATCATAAGGTAAAGAAAATATATTTAGTATTTATTAAGTGGAAGTGGATCATCATAAAAGTCTTCATCCTCATGTTTTACATGTTGAGCAAGCTGAGGAAGAGGAGGAAGAGGAAAGGTTGGTCTTGCTGTTTGAGGGGTGGTAGAGGTGGAAGAAAATCCATGCATAAGTGGACCTGTGCAATTCAAAGCCATGTTCAAGGGTCAACTATTGCGAATACTCAAGGGCTAAGGTGGACATTGATTATGATTTGTGTTTTAGTTTAAGTTATCCCTAAATTTGCCCAGTCTTCGTAAGTAAACCACAGTTTACTTACTAGTCCAACCCCAGAACCTTTTGAAGAACCTGGGCTCCACAGTTTTTCCAGCAGAGCTGCTTTTTAGTGAAGCTGAGAGGGAAACATGAGTTCAAGGACATTCAGCTAATTGTGAGAATTAGAATAACATAATGGTTAAGTGAAAGGGTCTGTGTCGAATTGGTTGGATTCCAGCTCCACCACATACCTGATTTGTAAACAACCTAAGCCATTTAATCTCTTTTTACTCAGGTTGCTCATTTGGAAAGTGGAAGTGACAATATGGTTGATGAAATGGAATAAAATATTACCAATACCAACTCTAGCATTATTGCTTGTATTAAATTACTGCGTGTAAAGAATTTAGAAGAGTGTCTAGAGCACAGTAATAACTCAATAAGCATTCTGGATTTTTACTATTTATTATTATTACTTATAGTATTATCACTGCAGCCAGGACCCTGTTCCACGTGTATTTCAGTTGTTCTTTCCTTATGTTGCTAACACCTTGTAAGTAAATCATTCTCCCCTGTAAGCTCCTGCTAGCCTTCATTTCTGTGGCATTCAAAGCCTTGCCTTTGTTTCCTGATTAATTTTTTTCCACACTATATAGCCATCTTTCTCATTACAATGCAATTATTTGTGGTGGGACCATGTTTCTTTGGTGATATGGAAGCCACTCTGTATTGATTTGCTTCTGTGCTAGTTGAGAGCCAGTTGTAGCTGTTTAGGTAATCAGGTCGCCCTCGATCCTAAAAAGCACTATAAGAGGAATTATCAGTTCATCCCCATCTCCCTTGTGCAGGCTCCAATCTTTGAAAATACTTCAGTGGTCTTTGGGGAAAAAAATAAGTTGCAAAGTGAAGCTGAAGCAAGACTCAAGACAGTTGAGAGACAGTGTCAAACAATAAAAGGGTGATGATTTTAAAGTCACAGGTCGAGTTTTATGAATTATTGTGCCACTAGCTGCCTGATGGTCTAGGCCAGATTGCATCACTTTTTTGGACTTTAATTTTTTATTAGTATAAAATAATCTACCATTCAATGAGAAATGATGGATAAACAAAATATGATGCAATTTATAATCTCAACAAGATATCACTTTAATTTGACTTACCATTACATGGATTTAGAATTACCATAGTTTAGATCATATCTCCAAAGATAGTTCTGCTAAGTCAGACATTTTCTTTTTTTTTTTTTGAGATGGAGTCTTGCTCTGTCACCCAGGCTGGAGTGCAGTGGTGCAATCTCAGCTCACTGCAACCTCTGCCTCCCCAGTTCAAGCGATTCTTCTGCCTCAGCCTCCCGAGTAGCTGGGACTACAGGCGTGCACCACCACACCTGGCTAATTTTTGTATTTTTAATAGAGATGAGGTTTCACCATATTGGCTGGTCTCAAACTCCCGAACTCGTGATCCGCCCACCTCGGCCTCCCAAAGTGCTGGGATTATAGGCGTGAGCCACTGCACCCGGCTGACATTTTCTTAATGTAGATTTGGTGACTCATGACTGCACATATTACATTAATGATTTTTTTTTTTTTTGGAAACAGAGTCTCGCTCTGTCACCCAGGCTGGAGTGCAGTGGCACAATCTTGGCTCACTGCAAGCTGCTCCTCCCGGGTTTACACCATTCTCCTGCCTCAGCCTCCAGAGTAGCTGGGACTACAGGGGCCTGCCACCACGCCAGGCTAATTTTTTTTTTTTTTTTTGTATTTTTAGTAGAGACGGGGTTTCACCGTGTTAGCCAGGATGGTCTTGATCTCCTGACCTTGTGATCCGTCCACCTCATTAATGATATTTCACAGTCACAATTAGACATCCATCTAGGAAAATATACTTGTACTAAATGTGATTACTAATGTGAGCAAGGGCAGCAGTTGATCAGATGATTTTACCTTTTTTTGGAGACTCTTCATGATATTTCAAATCTGAGATGTAATTTTGGTGGACTTAAACACTTCAAAAAAATAACCCTTTCATTAGCAATCTTTTGCACCATCCACAACTAAGAGTATATCTGGGTTTGTTCACATATCATTTGATGACATTTAGTCACAGGCATAGGCAGTGAGAAGTCATTCTGGTGGCACTGACTAGTAGATCCTGTGTGCCCTTGTCAGGGCCTTGTGCATACACCCTGCTCTCCAGCTCGGCTCTGGGAAAAGCAGGGTATACTAGCTTTGTCTGACTGTAGATGGAAGATTAAAATTAAGCGTAACAGTAGTTTGAAATAGCCCATGTCAGTGACTTGGCCTGCCATACTGGCCTGTGTACAATTTCCTCGGTCATTCTACCATGCTTATCCCCTCATGGTCACAACGTAGTGACCACATTCAAGGCAGATGCTGCCTTTAGGCCCCTTTGTATTAAAAGCAAAACCCTTCCCAGAGCCCCTAGAAAACTTACACTTATTCTTATTGACAGGAACTATTTCCATGAGCACCCCAGCTGCAAGTGAGGCTTAAAAAGATAATAGTAAGCCTTTCTGACTTTTAGAGTAAAGGTGCCAAGGGAGAAGGAAGTCAGCAGTGGGTGTTAAGTATCATAGAAATGGATTCAAGAAAGATCCCTAAGGCAAAATTATGTAGGGCAGAGGATGTGTTCAGTCATTATCCTGCATGGAAAAAGCAAAGTCAAGAATCCTTAGTCACCTGGACCATGTTCTCTCCCTCCTTTGGGTCAGGAGGAGCTAGAATAGATCCAGTTTGACTTTGCAGAATGCATAAACTGCTCTGTATTTATTAACAAAGAAAAAAGGAGAGAAGATCCAAGTAATCACAAACAGAAATGACAAAGATGACATTATAACTGTTGTGACAGAAATGCAATAGATCCTCAGAGACTATCCTGAACACCTCTATGCACACAAACTAGAAAATTTAGAGGAAATGGGTAAATTTCTGGAAACATACAACCCCCCCAAGATTGAATCAGGAAGAAACTGAAACCCTAAACAATCCAATATTGAGTTCCAAAATTGAACTGGGAACCAAATACTTACCAATCAAAAAAAGCTCTGGACTAGATGGATTTACAGTTGCATTCTACCAGATGTACAAATAAGAGCTGGTACCAATTCTACTAAAACAATTTTCATAAAATCAAGGGGGACTCCTCCCTAACTAATTCTATGAAGCCAGCATCACCCTGATAACAAAACCTGGCAAAGACATGATGCAAAAAGAAAACTACAGGGCAATATTACTGAGGAGGAAAGATGCAAAAAATCATCAGCAAAATACTAGCAAATTGAATGCAGCATATATCAAAAAGTTAATTCGTCACAATCAAATAGATTTCGTTCCTGGGATGCAAGGTTGTTTCAACATATGCAAATCAATAAATGTGATTCACCACATGAACACAATTAAAAACAAAAACCATATATCATCTCAATAGATGTAGACAAAGCCTTTGGTAAAATCCAACATCTCTTCATGATAAACACCCTCAACAAACTAGGCATCAAAGGGACATACCTCAAAATAATAAGAACCTTCTGTGACAAACTTAGAGCCAACATCACACTGAATGGGCAAAAGTTGGAAGCATTCCCTTTGAGAACTGAAAGAAGACAGTGATGCTTACTCTCACCACTCCTATTCAAGATAGTACTGAAAGTCTTAGCCAGAGCAATCAGAGAAGAGAAATAAAAGACATCCAAATAGGAAAAGAAGTCAAAATATCTCTCTTTGTTGATTATACGACTCTATACCTAGAAAACCCTAAAGATTCTGCTCAAAGGGTCCTGGAACTGATAAACAACTTCAGTAAAGTTTCAGGGTACAAAATCAATGCACAAAAATTAGTAGCATTTCTATACACCAATAGCATTCAAGCCAAAAGCCAAATCAAGAGTGCAATCCCATTTACAATAGCCACACACAAAAATAAAATACCTAGGGATACATCTAACCAAGGAGATGAAAGATCTCCACAAGGAGAACTACAAAACACTGCTGAATGAAATCACAGATGATACAAACAAATGGAAAAACATTTCATGCTCATGGATTAGAAGAATCAATATCGAAAACGGCCACACTGCCCAAAGCAATCTATAGATTCAATGCTATTCCTATCAAACTTCCAATGTAATTTTTCATGGAATTGGAAAAATTATGCTAAAATTCATATGGAACCAAAAAGACCCTGAATACCCAAGGCAATCTTAAGCAAAAAGAACAAAGCAAAAACAACATCACATTACCCAACTCTAAAAACTATACAATAAGGCCACCATAACTGAAACAGCTTGGTACTGGTACATAAACAGACACATAGACCAGTGGAACAGAATAGAGAACCCAGAAATGAAGCCACAGACCTACAGCCATCTAATCTTTACAAAGTTGACAAAAATAAACAATGAAGAAAGGACTCCCTTTTCAATAAATGGTACTGGGATAGGTGGCAAGCTACATGCAAAAGAATGAGACTGGACTCCTACTTTTCACCATACACAAAAATGTACTCAAGATGGATTAAAGATTTAAATGTAAGACCTCAAACTATAAGAATCCTTGAATAAAACCTAGCAAACACCATTCTGGCCATTGGCCTTGGGAAATAATTTATGACCAAGCCCTCAAAAGCAACTGCAACAAAAGAAAAATTGATTAAGTGGGACCTAATTAAACTAAAGAACTTCTGCACAGCAAAAGAAACTATCAACAGAGTAAACAGACAACTTACAAAATGGGAGAAAATATTTGCAAACTATGCATTTGACAAAGGTCTAATATCTAGAATCTATAAGGAATTTAATTCAACAAGCAAAAACCAAATAACCCCATTAAGGAGTAAGGAAAAGACATGAACAGACACTTCTCAAAAGAAGACATACACATGGCCAACAAAGATATGAAAAAATGCTCAACATCACTAATCATAAGAGAAGTGCAACTCAAAATCACAATGAGATACCATCTTGTACCATCAGAATGGCTATTATTAAAAAGCCAAAGAACAGCAGATGTTGGCAAGGCTGCAGAGAAATGGAAATGCTTAGAGAGGGAATGCTTATACATTGTTGGTGGGAATGTAAATTGGTTCACCCATTGTGAAAAGCAGTTTGGAGATTTCTTAAAGAACTTAGAACTACCATTTCACTCACCAACCCCATTACTGGGTTTATATCCAAAAGAAAATAAGTCATTCTACTAAAAAGATGCATGCACTTATATGTTCATCACAGAACTATTCACAGTAGCAAAGACATGGAATCATCCTAGGTGCCCATCCTAGGTTCCCATGGTGGATTATGTAAAGAAAATATGGTACATATATACCATGGAATACTAGGCAGTCATAAATAAGAACAAAATCATGCCTTTTGTAGCAACATGGATGCAGCTAGAGGCCACTCTCCTAAGCCATTTAATGGAGAAACAGAAAACACATGTTCTCACTTGTAAGCGAGAGCTAAAAATTGGGTACTTATGGTAACAATAGACATGGGGGATAATAGAGGAGTGAGGTATGGATGCAAGGGATGAAAAACTAACTGTTGGGTGCTGTGCTCATTATCTGGATGACAGGATCATTTGTATCCCAAACCTCAGCATCACGCAATATACCCCTGTAAGAAACCTGCATATGTACTACTTGAATCCAAGATAAAATTTGAAATGAAAAAAATAAAAATAATAAATCATCCCACTTTGTGTACATAGAGAAAAATATCACATTGTATCCCATAAATGTATACAATTATTATTTATCAGTCAATGATAATATTTTTAAAATGTTGTAGTGGTGGGGGCTGGTCATCATGGAATAATGAAGATGTAATCAGGACACAGTTCAGGATTACATATATAGTTCCATCCTTGGGAGGAAAGCAACGAAAACATACTTGGGTTATGTAGAAGTTAACTCCATCTTGGCTTTGTTTGGACAAGATGACTCTTGCAGATGTAGCTGAAATCTGAGGACTTTTTCTAGGCTTGTGGGGGTCCAACCAGGTAGATAAGGCCATTTTGTTGTTTTGCTTCTGGACAGCTTGTTGGCTTGTCCTACACTGCAATTCCTAATTTAGTTCATTGCATCCCTTAAAAACACTGATTAAGACTTTGAAGAAGATATCACATGCCTAATACATGCCCACTGGAGCTGATGAAACATAAAACTTTAAATTCAATACAATTTTTATAGGTTTTTTTCCACCCATATAAACACATAAGATGAATTATTGTGTGCTTAATGTTTGTGATTACCTGGAATTAGTTTTTTTTTCTAAAATTGGTGTAGAAACTGAGTGGTTAACAGTTTTAACATCCCTTCCTCCTCTTCAGCCAAATAACAGCATCATGCTGTGGTCACTACTGCCTGATCCTGAAATGTTTAAGTAAGGATGGAAATAAAAATAACTGTGTAGCTTTGATTTTTAATAAAAATTTCCAGTACCTACCTTTGTAGAGATTCTGAATAGAACTGGGAATCTGATACTTGAGTAAGAAAAGTGTTCTGATGTGTGCTAACAGCACTTGGATTAAGATCACCAGCACACTTCCTACTCATTGAATTCTTTCCTTCTACATGGTTCCATTCCTAATCCATTCATCTACAACTGAGTAATTTCTTGCAAGCTCTGTCTTGCTCAGTCTGGGACCTCTTGTAATCATTATCTGTAATTGCATCATATTCCCTACACCTAAGGCTTAGGAAGGTTATATGTATGCAGCAAGAGGTACCTTCTCCCTAGGATAAAGCCATCACCCACATAAATCCAAGGAACCTTCTCTGATAAAGAACTAATGTGTGCACATTGGCCTCAATACTCTATAGCTCCAGAGAGGGTGGAAAAGACAAGGAAAAGTACATCAATATGTAACATTGGTAAAATTATAATTTATGTAATTTTGCTCACATATATTTATGAATCTGTTTCTACAATATGTATCTGCATTCATATATTATTTATCTTGCAATATAATTTCACTCCTCAGCTTTAATTAACTGGTCAATTCAGCATGCTTTAAGAAAAATAATAACATGATAGGTGTGTGTTGATGAATTCACTGAGACAATCAAAGTACAATATAAGTATATTCTAATCTTATATCCATAGATACTTCAGGATCTCCCAATTGTACCTCTATTCCACCTCATACATAGGATTACAATAGTGCCAACCCTTGTTATGATATATTTGCACACACACAGATATTTTATCATCCCCCACATATAACATTCCAAATAAAGAAAATCACTCAGCCGGGCGTGGTGGCTCACGCCTGTAATCCCAGCACTTTGGGAGGCCAAGGCGGGCGGATCACAAGGTCAGGAGATTGAGACCATCCTGGCTAACAAGGTGAAATCCTGTCTCTACTAAAAATACAAAAATTAGCCAGACTTGGTGGTGGGCGCCTGTAGTCCCAGCTACTCATGAGGCTGAGGCAGGAGAATGGCGTGAACCCAGGAGGCGGAGCTTGCAGTGAGCTGAGATTGCGCCACTGCACTCCAGCCTGGGTGACAGAGCAAGACCCTGTCTCAAAAAACAAAACAAAACAAAACAGAAAAACCCAAAATCACTCATATTTCATTACAGTTAAAACCATGTTTTTTCCACTTTAACATGTTGGAAACTAGGAAGAGTTCCAAAATTGATGCTGTTTTGGTTTTACAAATTATTAGGGGTGTGTGTGTGTGTGTGTGTGCATGTGTGTATACTTTGAGTTGTATCCACACTAATTAAAAAACATATATTCTTTTTAAATTGAGGGGAAATTGTGAATTATTTGGAGTAAATTATTTCAAAATTGACTAGTCTCAAAATTTTACAGTTTTGGCATATTTATTGTTATTATGCTTATGTCACAGCTGGACACTGAGATGCTATAGAAAGTAAATATGAAATAATAGGCAATTATCTAATTTTAATGTTATACTAATATTCAATAAATGCTAATTGCTTTCTTGGAAACTTAATTTATTCTTCATAAATGATTTGTTAATATGAAAAGTTTTACTTATAAGACAAATCAGAATAGAGGATATAATAGTAAACTTCTATTGAAAATAAGTAGTTTCCAGGGTTGGTTTAAGTAAACTATTATGCAGTTTTCTGGGTAATGTTGATTATCTATATGAGTGTGATTGTTATTTGAGGATGGAAATGAAGGCAGTATTAAAATGATTTCTAATCAGCAATTTTTTCAAGGCCACTTTCACCTCTTTGTTCCGTAGACTATAGATGATAGGATTCAACATGGGGGTTTGTCCGGCATACACCAAAGCCATAAATTTGTCTATTTCCTGTGAATCTACAGCGGAGGGCTTCAGGTGCATGGAGAGAGCCGTCCCATAGAACAAAACTACCACCATCAGGTGGGCTGTGCACGTTGAAAAGGCTTTACTTCGACCTTCCACTGAGCTGATTCTCAGGATACTGGCGAGGATAAATGCATAAGAGATACAAATGAGTAGCATTGGCATGGGGAGAAGAAGTACACTGATCACCAGCATGATTAACTGCACCAGGGAGGTGTCCACACAAACCAATTTCAAGATGGCCAGAATTTCACAAGTGAAATGATTGATGATGCTATTACCACAGAGAGACAGTGGCAGCACAGACATCATTTCCACCATGGCAGTGAGACAGCCTGTCATCCAGGAGCCAGCTGCAATCTGCACACAGGTTCTCCTATTCATGATGACAGGGTATCTCAGGGGGTTGCAGATGGCCACATACCGGTCATATGCCATCATGGGCAGGAGCACACACTCAGTGGAGCCCATGGCAAGGGAGAGGTACATCTGAGTGGCGCACCCTGAGAATGAAATAGTGTTTCTCCCTGAAACAAAGTTTGCCAGCATTGGAGAGAGGGCAGAAGAGGAGTACCAGATGTCCAGAAAGGAGAGATTGCTGAGGAAGAGGTACATAGGGGTGTGCAGGTGGGAATCTAGAATGGTGATGGAGATCAGAAAAATGTTGCCCAGCAAGGTGATCAGGTACATCAGCAAGCACACCGCAAATATGATGACCTGAACTTTGGGGTAGTGAAAAAATCCCAGGAAGAAAAATACTTTTACAGATGTCCAATTTGCCGGGAACATTTTTTTATGTTATGTTCACCTGTACGTATGCATAGAAGGATTAACGTCACACATATATAAAACATAACCCCCTCCTTCACATATCTGGCATGTTTTATTTATATGAACTTGTGTTCTGTTCTTCAATGGTTCTCTAGGTTAGTGATAGTAATATATATTGAAGAAATTTGTCACTAATAAGAAAAATTTAAGCAGGAAGTCAACAGATACATCCTTAAAATGTTACTTTTGCTGTAAGATTTTCTTTTGGCAATGTGAGGGTAGGAGGATGGTGTATTTAATCGGTATCACAAAAGAATGAGAAAAGAAACAATATTTTGCATTCTTTCTTTTTCCAAAACCACATTTTAACTGATCTATTTACCTCTGTACCATTGGCATGATTTTCTTCCTCTGATTTGGTAATAATCTTCTTACTTAGGAACTGTTTGGATTTCCAAGTTCACAGTTTCTTCTGCCATTCCTAGAGATATATCCAAAATAATTTGGAAGTCTCAGGGAATAAAGGCAAAAAAAGGTATAGATTTCTGCAGCCATAAAGTAACAGAGACTTTGGACACTTAGAAACAAGCCCAGAGTTTCCTTCTCAAACTCAGGAAAATGGTGACATGTGTCTCATGCTAGGAGACACATGGCAGATACTTCTTTCATCTTGCTGTTGTCCTGATGTTTGTGCTGCAGAAACATCCTGCAAAGAACCAGCCATTGGCAGTGTAGGGCAATTTAAGCTATTTGTTCCTTTTGAAAAGTCTTCAATTCATGCAGCAAATTAAACATCTATTTGTATAGTATTACAAATTCTAAAACTCCAGGGACAGTGTCCCATAAACCCAATTATAGTCAGTAGCTTGTCTTGTCTAACTGTAGGGTTATTCAAACAATACATAAACATGTTTCCTGTCTACATTGTCTTTGGGAAGGGGAACTTTACTCTTCTCCCAATAGTGTTATGAAGTCAGGCTTGTTGATTTAAATGAAGTTAAAAATAATGGATAATGTTGGTAGTTTCTCCTTCAGATTGTAGGAGAGTTTTATAATATCAATGAGATCAAGTTGTACTTGATATGGAGCCTACCAAAGACAGGGGAATGCGTGCTTAAGTAACTTTTCTATTGTTCAATATGGCTTAAAGAGAAGGCCATTGAGGGCAGATATTTCTCATAGAACATGAAGGTCCATTTGCTTTCAGAAACACTTTTTCTTTTGGGAAGTGAGCTTCACCCTATAAAGGCATCGTTACCCTTCAGAAATCCACTGATGGTTCTATCTATTTGAGTGATGCTTTATAATCCCTGTTCACAACTTGTCTGTTTTCCAAGTGAGAGATGAATGGTTAACAGTGTATGGTGGCGTGGGGAATGCATATTGTCAATGTCACCACTGTACAATAGTGATTGTATAACTTGCTTCTTAGTAGCAGATTGTAATCATGGCCATTACTGAATTGTTTTATATCACATCAAATATTCTTCATTCTCAGAGAAGGTCATAAATTTGAATGATTGCCAAGATTTTTCAAAGCACAGTAAAAAAAAATCTCTTCGCTAGTTAGTATTTGCAATCAGAATGCATCTTTTAGGTCTGTCATGTACTCACTCCAACAGAGATAGAACTTTCATGGCCTTAGGATCATGCATATGGTTCCCTTCTTTAACTATAGGAAAGCTTGGTGCACAGGAAAGACTAGGGTCTTTGTGCAATAAACACTTTCCACTTTACCACTTCATTTTTGTCACCTAGAGCAAGTTGATGATCCTCACTGAGATTCAGATTATTTATAAAAGGGCAATGACAATATTTCTTTATCAGAGTTGTTTTGAGGAATAGAGATATTTCATGTCAAGCAACTAAGACTGTAGTTGATGTACAGTAGGTAATTAATAAATGTTAGATTTTTCCCCATTCTGTGGTTTTTGACTTGCTTCTTCAATCATCTTTTTTCCTTGTATTTATTCTCCCTTTTCATTATTTCCCTCTTTGACTATGGCAATGCCCTTCCTTTGCTTTTCTCATTTAGACAATATTTGCTGCAACTGCAATACAAATGGTTAAAGCAAAAGAGAGAAAAGAAATGGACTAACATCTGGCCCCGGAATCCACTTTTCCTCGAATTTGTTTATCTGACACTCCTTCTGACTTACCTGTCCAGTTCCTATAGACCAAAGCTTGTGAGGCTCAAAGTGAATCATTTAGGTTACTTGATTGTGCTTGGGGGAAGGGTTAGAAGAGTACACTATTGGCTGGGCGCGGTGGCTCATGCCTGTAATCCCAGTACTTTGGGAGGCCAAGGCAGGAGGATCATGAGGTCAAGAGATTGAGACCATCCTGGCCAAAATGGTGAAACCCCGTCTCTACTAAAAATACAAAAATTAGCTGGGCATGGTGGCACGTGCCTGTAGTCCCAGCTACTAGGAGGCTGAGGCAGAAGAAAGAAGAATTGCTTGAACCTGGGAGGCGGAGGTTGCAGTGAGCTGAGATCACGCCACTGCCCTCCAGCCTGGCGACAGAACGAGACTCCATCTCAAAAAAAAAAAAAAAAAAGAACGGTACATTATTTTAGGGCTACCCACAAAAAGATGATGTGGATGCAATGAATAAGTCTCAGAAAGGTTGCCAGTATTATTTCCCACTCTTTATGCAGCAACAGACTACATTTCTGCTTTGGAGATACTTCAGAAAATGCTGAAAAGAAGAAATACTGAACCTCCATGGAATTTTCTCTCTGATGGTAAATTATTCTACTATAAAGACACATGCACACATATGTTTATTGCAGCACTGTTCACAATAGCAAAGACTTGGAACTAACCCATATGCCCATCAATGATAGACTGGATAAAGAAAATGTTGCACAGATACACCGTGGAATACTCTGCAGCCATAAAAAAGAATGAGTTCACGTCCTTTGCAGGGACATGGATGAAGCTGGAAGCTATCATCTTCAGCAAACTAACACAAGAGTAGAAAACCAAACACTGCATGTTCTCACTCATAAGTGGGAGTTGAACAATGAGAACACATGGACACAGGGAGGGGAACATCACACACGGGGGCCTGTTGAGGGGTCGGGGGCAAGGGGAGGGAGAGCATTAGGACAAACACCTAATGCATGTGGGGCTTAAAACCTAGATGATGGGTTGATCGGTGCAGCAAACCACCATGGCACATGTATACCTATGTTAACAAACCTGAACATTCTGCACGTGTATCCTGGAACTTAAAGTAGAATAAAAATTAAAAAAAAAAAGAAAAGAAAATCAACCGACTATATATTGCATGGATTTCCTTCCGAATTCTTTTATTCTGTTCTACTGATCTATTCATTTTTCTTTATGCCAATACCACAGTAGCTAGATCATTACAGATTTAAAATAAGTTCCTAATGAGGTAGTGTAAATCCTCCAACTTTATTCTTCTTTTTCAATGTTGTTTTGGCTATACTACGTCCTTTTCTTTTCCTACTAGCTTTGGAATTGTCAGTTTCTCCAAAACTGCTTCCTAGGTTTTGAGTGGTATGGCAGTAATTTGTAGATCAATCTTGGGAGAATTGATATCTTAATAATATTGATTCTGCTGATTCATGAACAATGTATCTCTCATTTCTATAGGTCTTTAAATTCTGTCTGCAATGTTCTGTATCTTTCAGTATAAAAGCTTTACAGATCTGCCAGGCGCGGTGGCTCAAGCCTGTAATCCCAGCACTTTGGGAGGCTGAGGCGGGTGGATCATTTGAGGTCAGGAGTTCCAGACCAGCCTGGCCAACATGGTGAGACCCCATCTCTACTAAAAATGCAAAAATAAGCTGGGTGTGGTGGCATGCTCCTGTAATCCCTGCTATTCGGGAGTCTGAGGCAGGAGAATCGCTTGAACCCAGGAGACAGTTTGGAGTGAGCCAAGATGGCACCACTGCACTCCAGCCTGGGTGATGGAGTGAGACTCTGTCTCAAAAAAAAAAAAAAAAAAAAAGTTAATTTTCCCTGTTATTTTATATTTTAAAATATGTGGTATTTTTCAAATATATATGCATTTCAATTTCTTTTTGTTGGTAAATAGAAATGCAAGTGGTGTGTATATGGTGACATATCCTGATAGCTTGATAAATTCTTTTATTAATTTTATTATTTACTGTGTGGATTCCTTGGAAATTTTTGTCACTGTTCACATACGCAATCTGGTTGTCTGTGAATGGGGACACTTTTCTTCTTTCTTTCCAACTGTAACCCCTTTTAGTTATTTCTCTTGTCTTATTGTTCTGGCTAAGACAGTCAATACAGTGCTACACACAAGTGGTGATAGTGGACATTCTTGCCTTGATCCTTGATCTTAGGAGGAGAACATTCAGTCTTTTAATTGACTTTTTTCTGGCTGTTTCACCTTGGACATATCTCCACATTCAGCCTCCTTTGTCTTGTGCTTAATTGGAGCGAATTGAAATAGATCATCTTTCATAACCCTTTCAAATATAATATTTCAAAACTCTGATATTCACTTGTATAAGCATCTTTCAGGCTATGTAATGATTCTTTCTTGCAGAGCTACAGTGAGTGCATTGATACTACAAATTTATGTGTATGTGTGCATATATAAAATAGAAAATTAAATATCTATTACATATAATCATATACCTCTGTCTCTTTATATTTTTTCTTGGACTAGATCTCTATTAATCACCTACGAATATCAGTTAAAGCTAAAGTGTAGACACTGGAGGGCAAGAATGAAAAATAACTAGACTAAGGGGTAGATAATTCCATGCTAGCAGAATAAGGAATCAAATCAATGTGAAAAAATAATAGGAGGTGATTCAGATTTGAAACTGTGAAGATCCAACATTGAATTGGAAGAGCAGAGGAGAAGCAAGAAAGTATCTGGAAGCATGGGCTGGCTGTCCAGTCAAAGAAGAACTAGGAAGGATAAAGCCACTTACCTGGAGTGTTGGGGAAGAGGCTAGATCTAAATATTTATCCATATGTCATCTTGTTTTTTCCAGCATTAAGGGCTCTGAGAATGCCTAGCTTGTCTAAAAGAGGGAGGTTGGTATGATATGGTGGTTCAGAGAGGAACTAGGAATAGGCCTAATAATATGCTTGAAAGCTAAACGAATTGAGATTTTTTTTTTTTTTTAACAATACCATGCTGCTGCTCTGTAACCCCTCTCTGGTTGTGACATGACAAATTGAAAGCTTATCTCATACAGACAAACATGGGATTAATCTAGTGACTGCCATGAAAACAACAGTGTTGAGAAAATAGATAAAGCAAAACCACAAATGTGTGTTCAAGGTGTGAGAACCTCCCAGGTGAGGCAAGTGTGGGCACAGGAGCTGTTAGAATGACAGCTTCTTTTGTTTGGAAGACCCAGGCAGTGCAAAATTAACATTTCTCATATTCCTGCTCTAACCACCTCCCTCCCCTCAAAAAGCAAGGAGGCACACAAAGACCACATTTTTCCTGCTCTATTCCTGATCCTGAATAAATTTTTTAATTAACAGCCACTAATTGTAAATTACTGTGTTTGTTAGGTGCTAGAGATAAGAAGATAATAAAGGTATAAGCCCTTTCCTGAGCATCCTCTCAATCTAATCAGGGAAATATATTATAATAACAGAATTATAGAACTATTTGTCAGTCACGGGGGTGAGCACCCTTTGCTGTGGTCTGGGAAGGATTGCAAAGGACATCATACAAAAAGTGCTACCAGAGTAGAATTTGAAAAGTTATCACATGCAGCCCAATGAGTATGTGAAAGAAAAGTCTTCCAGGCAGCGAATAACGGTATATTTAAACTTTGAGTTATAAAATGTCATTTTGCACTCAGGAAAAGATACGGAGATCCACGTGACTGGATCACTGAGTTTGAAAGAGGGAGTGCCAGGTAGTAAAACTGGCATTGTCACATGGGATAGTCTGTGCCAATTGAGGGCCTCTATAGTTCACATTTTAGGTGCTCAAAGGGGATTGTTACCAGAAGGAAAGCAATATAAATATGGCTTTATTTTTTTTTTTAATTTTTTTTTTGAGACGGAGTCTCACCCTGTCGCCCAGGCTGGAGTGCAGTGGCGCGATCTCGGCTCACTGCAAGCTCCGCCTCCTGGGTTCACGCCATTCTCCTGCCTCAGCCTCCCGAGTAGCTGGGACTATAGGCGCCTGCCACCATGCCCGGCTAATTTTTGTATTTTTAGCAGAGATGGGGTTTCACCGTGTTAGCCAGAATGGTCTCGATCTCCTGACCTTGTGATCCGCCCTCCTCGGCCTCCCAAAGTGCTGGGATTACAGGCGTGAGCCACTGCGCCTGGCCAAATGTGGCTTGAATTTTTAACAAATCACTTAAGGAATTGAGGAGAAGGGATTGAAAATAAGACTGAAATTAGAAGTCTCTCAATGAAAGTGGATGGGAGGAGTTTGGATCCTGAGATACTAAAACAGTCAGAGATGTACATTACTTGGGTTATATCGTCATCTGGTGTTCACTGTACAGTATTAATTCAGGGAGTTAGGCAGAATAGCATAATTGAACATAATTTGAGAGGACGAACTCTCAGTTGAGGTCATAATGTGGCCTGGTAGACATTAAAATAAGACATTGAAATGTTTTATTTTGACACATTGTAGAAGTTCCTGGGAATACCACCAAAGATGTATTGATGAAAGACACCAGGGGCTGGATACCCATTTCAGCGATCTCAGAAGAATCTATATGCAGAGATGATATGCAAATCACGAGGGAAGTGGCCTGATGAATATGTGGGGCTGAGGGAGTTTCTTTGCTATTTTACTGATCTCCCCCAAAGAAGATAATTGTTCATCCCCGAATGAATATAAATCTGGCTGAAAAGTCATTTTACCTTTCCAAAGATGAGTCAGGATCAATAAAAAGACAACTTCATCTTCCAAGAAGAAGGGCTGTTACTCAAGTTGAAGACTGCATGGAGAGCTGCAAATTTTCTAGAGGGGAAAGAGTGTTGAACCAAGATTAGGTTATTGCATAGGAGGGTATATTAGTTTGCTAAGGCTGCCATAACAACATACCACAACCAGAGTGAGTTCAACAACACAAATTTGTTTTCTCACACTTCTGGAGACTAGAAGTTCAAGATTGAGGTGTTAGCATGTTTAGTTTCTTCTGAGGCCTCTCTCCTTGTTCATCACTGGAGTCAACTGCCTCCTCTTGGCGTGTTCACAGGGTCATCTCTGCGTGTGCATGCATTTGATTTTTCTCTGTGTCCACGTTTCTTTTTATGGGAATACCACTCATATTGAATTAGGTCCCACTCTGAAGATTTTATTTTAACTCAATCACTTTAAAAAATTTTTTGGGCTGGGCGCGGTGGCTCACGCCTGTAATCCGAGCACTTTGGGAGGCCGAGGTGGGCGGATCACGAGGTCAGGAGATCGAGAAAATCCTGGCTAACACGGTGAAACCCCGTCTCTACTAAACAAAATACAAAAAATTAGCCGGGCATGGTGGCGGGCGCCTGTAGTCCCAGCTACTCGGGAGGCTGAGGCAGGAGAATGGCAATGGCATGAACCCGGGAGGCGGAGCTTGCAGTGAGCTGAGATCGCGTCACTGCACTCCAGCCTGGGCGACAGAGCGAGACTCCGTCAAAAAAAAAAAAAAAATTTGTAGAGATGGTGTCTTGCTTTGTTGCCCAGGCTGGTCTTGAACTCCCGGCTTCAAGTGGTCCTCCTGCCTTAGCCTTCCAAAATGTTGAGATTCAAAGTGTGAGCTACCATGTCTGGCCTTAATTGCCTCTTTAAAGGCCTTATCTCTAAATACGGTTTTATTCTGAGGGGCAGGAGGTTAGGACTGCAACAAATGAAATTTGGGGGACACTATTCAGTCTACAACAGAGGCATTGGTCGGCACCTGGGTAGCTTACAGTTCTTCAGGAACATACTCAGGGCCTATTATTAAGGCTAGTACCTTGGATGGGGGGAAAGGTTTGAGGTTCTGTGAAGTAATCCGACCACCAAAATCTATACTGATCTTTTCTCTTGGTAATGAGTTTGCTTCCTTGGTGCCAGAGAGCATGGTCCCTTGGTAAGCTTTATGGTACCTTTCTAAAATCAGGACACCAGCAAAGCAGATACTTTAGGCAAGTGTAGTGGTCATTGTTGAAATCTGAATGTACAAAATTGTGGTTTGCACAGCCTTTTCTGCACAGACAGCAAAGAAGGCATTGTCTCATCTCCAGGGAACAAGGACCTCAAGGCCTCGGGCTTTTGATGTCATCCCCTTTTGGCTTTCCAGTATAATTTTTGGTTAGTAAGGGTTCTCTAAGGTTATCACAGAAACTAGAGCAAATACAATCATGTCTAAGAAAAATGTTCAAGGAACAAAGTCAAAGAGGTGGGGCCACAAACTTCATCAAAAGGCGGTTTGCAGTGTGAAGCAGGAACACGGAGCAAAGCCAAGGCGTCTGGAAGTCATGGGACACAAGATCCAACCAACAAAAGATTCAAATCGTCAGACGAAGGCCTATATTGGTGAAAAAAGTAACCATTGGTGGGTGATATTTTGCATATTTTTGGAAGCATAGCAAGCGTGGAATAAATGTATTTAAATTTGACATTTGTGAGCTGTCACTTTAGGTCTGACAGACACTTTAGGTCTGACTCCCTTATATTGTATGATTGCCTATTTTGTGAATTAGGTTTCTTAGCTTTCTTTTTTTTTTTTTTTTTTTGACAGAGTTTCACTCTGTTGCCCAGGCTAAAGTATAGTGGTGCGATCTCAACTCACTGCAACCTCTGCCTTTCTCATTTAAGCGATTCTCCTGCCTCAGCTTCCCAAGTAGCTGGGATTACAGGCATGCACCACCATACCTGGCTAATTTTTGTGTTTTTAGTAGAGATGTGGTTTCACCATGTTGGCCAGGCTGGTCTCAAACTCCTGATAGTCAGCTTTTTTATTACCATTATGGAGGCTGGAATACAGTAACGACTAAGTGGAGATTTGTTAGATGAATAAATAGTTCATCACATAGGTAACATTCCTGCACACAGGCCCAAGGTAACAGGCAAGGAAAGGTTACACTGGCCTTCCCTGTGTACACACAGGGATGCAGCTCTATTTGTGAACCCTACACGACTACAATTTTCTAAGTATAGTTTTAATTGTCCTTGAAAGGATTAAGATACAATTCTTATGTGTCAAGTATACTTCAATAAAGCTTGATGCGGGAAGGGAAGTTTAAATTTAAGATCTCTGATGTTATAATCCCCTATTGCCACTAGATGGTGAAAAAGACTTGCTTGTCTTTGATGGAGCCCACCCTCCCCCTATGAAAAGCTTTCTCAGTGGAGAAAAAAAATGCACTGCTTTGTTTTTTGTTGTTATTAATATTTACAAATATAAACAAGCTTCTTTATATTTTTATTCAAATTATTTTAAAACATAATAAACTGTCGAAGAGAGTTGCTAGTGTCTTACATTGAAGATTAAATACTAAGGCAAAGCTCTGTGCTTAGTACTGAACTGGAGGCTGTGTGGGGAATAGACTAAGTATGGGGTTTCATCCCTGTCCTTGAACTGAAGGACACTTGATGTATGTCTTACATTAATGTGTCAGTCAATGGCTGCCTTGCCTGGCCATTGTTTATGGTAAATATAGATAAGCTGCGACTGAGCCCGGTGGCTCACGCCTGTAATCCCAGCACTTTGGGAGGCTGAGGCAGGTGGATCACGAGGTCAGGAGTTCGAGACCAGCCCGGCCAACATGGTGAAACCCCCGTCTCTACTAAAAAATACAAAATTAGCAGGGCGTGGTGGCACATGCCTGTAATCCCAGCTACTCGGGAGGCTGAGGCTGGAGAATTGCTTGAACCCAGGAGGCTGAGGTTGCGGGGAGCCAAGATCGCGCCATTGCACTGCAGCCTGGGCAACAAGAGCAAAACTCTGCCTCAAAAAAATATAGAGATTTATTTATATCCATATATATCTATATATAGATGGATTTATATCTATATCTATATATAGTTGGATTTTTATCTATATATCTATATATAGTTGGATTTATATCTATATATCTATATATAGAGAGATTCATATCTATATAGATCTATAGCTCCATGGACAGATTTATATCCATATAGATCTATAGCTCCGTGGATAGATTTATATCCATATAGATCTATAGCTCTGTGGATAGATTTATATCTATATAGATCTATAGCTCCATGGATAGATTTATATGTATATAGATCTATAGATCTATGTATAGATAGATTTATATCTATAGATATATAGATATACAAAGATATAAAGATCTATAGATATCTATATTTCAATGGCTATAGATCTATATATAGATAGATTTATATATAGATATGTCTATATATTTATATCTAGATATACCTATATATAGATAGATTTATATCATATATCTATATATAGATAGATTTATATCATATATCTATATATAGATAGATTTATATCTATGTATCTATATATAGATAGACTTATACCTATATATCTATATTATACATAAATCTATCTATCTATAGGATATATAGATATAAATCTATCTATCTATAGGATATATAGATATAAATCTATCTATCTATAGGATATATAGATATAAATCTATCTATAGGATATATAGATATAAATCTATCTATAGGATATATAGATATAATCTATCTATAGGATATATAGATATAAATCTATCTATAGGATATATAGATATAAATCTATCTATAGGATATATAGATATAAATCTATCTATAGGATATATAGATATAAATCTATCTATAGATATATAATATATAAATCTATATAGATATATAGAGATATCTATATATCTATATAGATATCTCTCTATATCTCTCTATATAGATATCTCTCTATATCTCTCTATATAGATATATATCTCTCTATATAGATATCTCTCTATATCTCTCTATATAGATATATATCTCTCTATATAGATATATATCTCTCTATATAGATATATATCTCTCTATATAGATATATATCTCTCTATATAGATATATATCTCTCTATATAGATATATATATATATTTTTTTGGGACAGAGATTTGCTCTTGTTGCCCAGGCTGGAGTGCAATGGTGCAATCTCGGCTCACCACAACCTCGGCCTCCTGGGTTCAAGCAATTCTCCTGCCTCAGCCTCCCGTGTAGCTGGGATTACAGGCATGCACCACCACGCCTGGCTAATTTTTGTATTTATCATATACTTATATATATATCTCTATATATTATATATTATCTATAGATATATATTATATATATATTATATATTATCTATAGATATATATTATATATATATTATCTATATCTATGTATCTATGTATATATATAGATATAGATAAGCTCTATGGGGACCACTTGTGGCTGCAGTGCTAATCCTGTTTCTGCTTTGTGTGATCACAAGAGAACAAAATAGGACATGGTGTTGGTTTCCATGGTAAGTGATTGTACAACTTCAGCCAAGGCAGAACTCAAGCTTATCCCATAGCATGGTTTCAATGGGGGCACGAACGGTGATGGCTTGCCTTGTGAAGACAGGCCCTCCTATTGTCAGTAAATGACTTCAAAGAAGGTATATTAGTTTGCTGGGGCTGTCATAACAAAGTACCACAAACTGGGTGGCTTAAACAATAGACATGTATTGCCTTACAGTTCTAACGGCTTGGAGTCCAGATCATGGGTTGGTTCCTTCTAAGGGCTGTGAGAGAGACTCTGATCCATGCCTTCAGCCTCTCTTCTGGTAGTTTGCTGGCATTTTTTTGGCATTCCTTGGTTTGTAGAAGCATCATCCCAATCTCTGCCTTCATCTTTACATGGCATTCTCCCTGTGTTTATTTCTTTGTACAGATTTTCCCTTCTTATAAACACATCAGTCATATTGGATTAGGAGCCTGCACTACTTAGTTATGACCTCATCTTAATTAATTGCATCTGCAATGGCCCTGTTTCTAAATAGGTCACACTCTGAGGTACTGGAGATTTGGACTTCAACATATTAATATTTGGGAGGCACAATTCAACCCATAATAGAAGGCCTTAAAACTATTTCCCAAGTTGGGATTTTAAGTATCCTCTGGTGGATTTCTTTCATTTTTTGTGTGTGTTGGGGGGTGGTTAAGTTTTATGAGATGGTCAACATGGCCATTGTATAGAAATGTTTGAAATGTGTCATTAAATCTTTATGCTAAAAAGCAAGAATAAATTATTTCTTTTTCTCTTTTTCCTTCCTTCCTTCCTCCCTTGCTCCATCTCTCCCTCCCTTCCTTCCTTTTTTTTATACATGATGTCGTGCTTACATCTGGTACATGACTGAAAAATTATGAGTCAGAAGAAAATAGAAGGGGCTTAAAAGTAGGACAGGATGGGAGACAGAGATTGTAATATATCAAAATGTTGGCACTCATACTTCATGTTTTAAAGAAAAAATGGCAACATAAAGCCTCATTAAGTTCTGAATGACCAAGTTTCCTACAGCAAATATTCTAAGACCTCTTATGTGTGCCCAGTTTTCATTTTTTGTTTTTGTTTTTGAGCCTTGAAGAGCACTAGTTTCTTATCTCATAGGCAAAGGCAAGATGCTCCTTGTAATGTTATTCTGTATTCTATTTTCTATCCAAGATGATGTCCATCAGGAAATGATGTTACCTATAGCAGCCAAACTGGCCACTTAAAAGACTGCCCAAGAAGAGGATGTTAGCAAGTGATTGTGCTTTAGCAATGAAATGAGTCAACTGCAGTTACCTTATAGCTGGGTTTTAGTGTTGTATAAATTTGTCTTCCCAACATGTGTTATTTACATCAACTATATTTAGAAAAATATTTTGCTCATTAATATCCACAAGAAACTTTTGAAAAATACTTTCTGTGTGAAGGCCCAGTTTCCAGCCCAGAGAACTTTGAGCTGGATAAGGCATGATCTCTGTCTTGAGGAGGAGTGTACCCTCATGGAGTTGAGCTCATTTAATAACCTGGATATACACATGTGCATGTCTGCAGCACGAATGACCTGAATGCCCATTGTGATCAGTGCCAGAATACAGGGCAAGTGTCAGATACTTTGCAGGTGGTTGATGAAGATACCATGTCAGCCTGTGGGTTATTCTTGCACTCTTGCTATTCCCTCTTTTCTCAAACCTCATTGACCATTCTGCTGGCCACTTTTAAGGGTCAGGCAAGTGAGGGTACACATAACACCTGGGTATGTCTTTGAGCATATCTGTTGAGTCATGATTGTCATCATGATTAGTGTCCTCTTCCCCAATGAAGGACAACTCTTGAATGTCCTCTCTTAACCTTAATGTGCTCATTAATTGTTTAATTCTTCAGCATTCTCAAATAACATTATTTTAATACTTAACTCTTTTCACTGGCTTAAATTTATTTTCAAAACCCTCAACTTAGCTTCATTTAACAGCTTTTTAATGTGTGGAATGATGGATTCCTGCATATAAATGTATAGTTTATTAATGTAATGGAGTCACATTGCCGTGGAAGAATTCTTCCTAATTTTATGCCAGGTTAACTATGCTTCTGCAGAGAACACTGCATCTTTCAGATGCTCTGCCAATGGATTTAAGTGTGAGACCGGCTAGTATAAGAGAATGCAACCACAGATCTGGCCGGAGAACTGCCAGTTAAAATATATATTACTAAAAATAGCCCTCTCCCTCTCCCCTCTCCCCTCTCCCGTCTCCCCTCTCTCCACGGTCTCCCTCTGATGCCGAGCGGAGGCTGGACTGTACTGCCGCCATCTCGGCTCACTGCAACCTCCCTGCCTGATTCTCCTGCCTCAGCCTGCAGAGTGCCTGGGATTGCAGGCGCGTGCCACCACGCCTGACTGGTTTTTGTATTTTTTGGTGGAGACGGGGTTTGGCCGTGTTGGCCGGGCTGGTCTCCAGCTCCTGACCGCGAGTGATCTGCCCAGCTCGGCCTCCCGAGGTGCTGGGATTGCAGACGGAGTCTCGCTCACTCAGTGCTCAATGTTGCCCAGGCTGGAGTGCAGTGGCGTGATCTCGGCTCGCTACAACCTCCACCTCCCAGCCGCCTGCCTTGGCCTCCCAAAGTGCTAAGATTACAGCCTCTGCCCGGCCGCCACCCCGTCTGGGAAGTGAGGAGCGTCTCTGCCTGGCCGCCCATAGTCTGGGATGTGAGGAGCCCCTCTGCCCGGCCGCCCAGTCTAAGATGTGAAGAGCACCTCTGCCCGGCGGCGACCCCGTCTGGGAACTGAGGAGTGTCTCTGCCTGGCCGCCCATCGTCTGGGATGTGAGGAGCCCCTCTGCCCGGCCGCCCAGTCTGGGAAGTGAGGAGCGCCTCTTCCCGGCCGCCACCCCGTCTGGGAAGTGAGGAGCGTCTCTGCCCGGCTGCCCATCGTCTGGGATGTGAGGAGCCCCTCTGCCCGGCCGCCCAGTCTGGGAAGTGAGCAGCGCCTCTTCCCGGCCGCCATCCCGTCTGGGAAGTGAGGAGCGTCTCTGTCCGGCCGCCCATCGTCTGAGATGTGGGGAGCGCCTCTGCCCGGCCGCGACCCCGTCTGGAAGGTGTGCCCAACAGCTCATTGAGAACGGGCCATGATGACGATGGCGGTTTTGTCAAATAGAAAGGGGGGAAATGTGGGGAAAAGAAAGAGAAATCAGATTGTTGCGGTGTCTGTGTAGAAAGAAGTAGACATAGGAGACTCCATTTTGTTCTGTACTAAGAAAAATTCTTCTGCCTTGGGATGCTGTTAATCTGTAACCTTACCCCCAACCCCCTGCTCTCTGAAACATGTGCTGTGTCCACTCAGGGTTAAATGGATTAAGGGCGGTGCAAGATGTGCTTTGTTAAACAGATGCTTGAAGGCAGCATGCTGGTTAAGAGTCATCACCACTCCCTAATCTCAAGTACCCAGGGACACAAACACTACGGAAGGCCACAGGATCCTCTGCCTAGGAAAACCAGAGACCCTTGTTCACATGTTTATCTGCTGACCTTCCCTCCACTATTGTCCTATGACCCTGCCACATCCCCCTCTCCGAGAAACACCCAAGAATGATCAATAAATACTAAAAAAAATAATAATAAAAAAAATAAAAAATAAAAATAGCAATAGGAGCCCTTGTAGTAAGACATGGCCAAAAATGAAAGGCAACATACTAAAATAAGACATCAGCCGTGCCTTTGCAGAGTCACACAGACGGAAGATGGCATCTCATTTGTTTTCACTTACACTGTTTTCCTAGGATTCAGCACATTGCTGGTGCTTTGTAAATACATGTTATCAAACTGTATAATTGAACAGATTGAAAACAGTTAACCCAGTAGTTCTGAAATTGGAGGTCCTCTTAAGAACTATTTAAAGAATCAGCAATTTATTTGATAAATGACTTGCAGGCAGGTCACAAGATTACAAGTCTAAATGTTTTTATTATTAATGTAATTATTTTTAAGGATAAACAAATAGAAATTGATAAATGTAATTGAAGTATGGTCTTCAAAGTCCAATCAAATAATATCAAATCTGAACATCGGTAAATTAATACACCCCAAAAGTTGTATATCATGGAATAAATTTAAATTCTTTGTAATGCTTAGTATTTTTATTTTACATTTTTATTTATTTATTTATTTATTTATTTTGAGATGGAGTCTCATTGTGTCGCCCAGGCTGGAGTGCAGGGGCGCAATCTTGACTCACTGCAACCTCCACCTCCTGGGTTCAAGCGATTCTCTTGCCTCAGCCTCCCAAGTAGCTGGGACTACAGGTGCATGCCACCACGCTTGGCTAATTTTTTGTATTTTTGGTAGACACGGGGTTTCACCATGGATGCTAACTTAGTATTAACTCACCGTAGTGCCTAACATGGTGTGCCTGACTAGCACATGGAGTTGAATCACACTTAGCCAGTTCTTGGTAAGCATTTATTCATTTAAAACTGAAGGAGAAATGTCCAAAACATGGCCTCAAATAAAAATCAATGAAAATTTGTTCATAATTAAAACTTTACACAATTATGGCAGATGTAAAGGTTTCATTCAGCATTTCTTCAGTTCCTACTTTGTACCAAGTATCCAGACTTAATGATGCAACTTATTTTTCTGAACTTTATTATTTGAAAACAACAATTTTTCTTATTATGTTGATTTAGATTATATTGTATATGATTATCTATTAATTATGATTAATAGAGACAGAGTTTCTTTTATTAAGCTCCTGTTAGAAACAAACTTCTTCCCACTCCGAGAAAGATCAAATTATTCCTACCCTTTAGAATTCCTGAATTCCATAAAAAATTAATGCCCTGAATATTTCAATTAGGAAATATGTGCAGTAATTAATTTGTTTAAGAGCTCGGTAAAGAGTCTTTCAAAGACACTCAGTTCAAGGAGGATGTTAATGATAACAAGAGGTCTCTCAATATTGACATCATGTTTGTGCTAAGGTCATAGACTGTCATTATAACTTCAGTGTTTTGACATGTGCTGACATGTTTAACTTGCTGAAACACATTTAAATATTTCTGTAAATCACCTACCAAAAACGAAGACTATGCTTAACAAGTATCCTTGAGAAATGACTGCAGCATCCATCATGAAGTCATGTTACAAAGAGTCAAAGTTGCTAGTCCTTTTGCAGAGAATTTCCTGTGTGTCCTAATGGGACCAGTGAGAGTTGGTGTTGTCGTTTCTGTAGGAGTCATGATAAAGTGTCTTCAATGCTTGTAGGTAGATAAAATCATTCTCCATGAGAGTATCTCATAGGACTCAGCACACAATATCCAAGAGTTTAATCATGTACAGACATAACCATACAGTTTACAAACTGGTACGAGGATAAATGACTAAATTATGGACAATGTCCAAGCTTTACTAAAGTGGCCAGGCTATAAGAAGGGAAAATTGTCACTGAATTATCTGCAAGGTGCATGCTCCCATTAACAAAAGAGTGGCCTTATCTGCTTGAGTCTAGAAAAGGAGGAATTTTGTACCACATAGAGACACTTTATCTAAAAGACAGTCTGACCACTAGAAAATGAACAGGATTAGGGGACATGGAGAAACCATTAGCTTTTCTTTATCTTTGTTGAAATATTCCTCAAGAGTATCCTATTTCTTTTCTCTGATTTTTTGTTACTGACAAACTTTTGACAACACATCCATTTCCAAACTACCTAAGTATCTGGTATCTAATGGCAGGAGAAGAGTGTCCTGGGCTTGTTGGAAGTGTTTATTCCTTGGTAAATTAGTAAATCTGCTGTTTATTCTTCCATGGTAAATTGATAAATCTGTTAGTGTCTGCTTTATCATTTATCTCTTGAGAATTTGGTTGTTATGAACCAGCCCCTAAGAGGCCAGTTAACTCTTGCCACACTGATAAGTTAAATTTCTGAGACCAAAATAATTAAGGGGGCCAGGTATGGTGGCTTACGCCTGTAATCCCAGCACGTTGGGAGGCCAAGGAGGGGTGGATCACTTGAGGTCAGGAGTTGGAGACCAGTCTGGTCGACATGGTGAAACCCCATCTCTACTAAAAATACAAAAATTAGCTGGGCATGTTGGCAGATGCCTGTAATCCCAGCTACTTGGGAGGGCTGAGGCATGAGAAACGCTTGAACCTGGTAGGCAGAGGCTGCAGTGAGCCGAGATCACGCCATGCCCCCATGACCCAGACACCAGTTCCCACCTTCAACACTGGGGATCACATTTCAACATGAGATTTGGAGGGGACAGACATCCAAACTGTATCACTATCCGTTGATTAGTAGGTGACTTTAAACATCCACATTTTCTCAAAAACAGACTTTTCAAAGTCTTTAAAACAAATCTACCAACTTATAAGTACATGGATGAGGTCAAGTCCCTTTATATATCTTGTAGTTTGCAAGACACAATTTGATACTACATGTCCTAGCATGCCAATATAATCCTTCTGCTATTGCCCTCCTTGTAAACCTGGGCCCAATCAACTATCACATTCCACCTTCATGCCTCAGTTCTTCCAGGCTTTATAATGGAAAGGGCTTGTGCCCGGTGCAACGGTTCAGTATAACAACAGCAATAAAAAATTTATGAGTGATTATTATGAGCTAGCCAATATGCTGGATACTTTAATACATATTTAATTATCTAATTAGCTCTTCACCCTGTGAAACAATTTCCATTTTACAGATTAAGTAATAGAGGCTTTTCATAATAAAATAACCTGTTCAGAGTCACACAGTGGAATACGTAAAGTTTGAGCCTAGGCTTATCTGACTTTAGGATCCAGGCTCTTTATGGTATGACCTGCTGTCTCTCTCTAATTTACTAAATGAGCTTTAGTGGAGATCTTGTCCTTTACTAGTACTATAACTTTCTGGTAGCAAAAACTCATACATTACAAACAACCTTGATGTTACAGTGGGATAGATCTCACCAGTTAAGACAATGGACTACAGAATGTAGCATCTAGTAATTGAGCTGGTTTAGGATTTCTTAATAGAATTCAATTTAACCAAAAGATTTTTGATTATTAACTAACTCAGTCATGGTTGGGCTGGGTTGATTGTGGCTTAATTGCTCTAGGGCCCTTTGCTTTGGCAATCTTTTCACAAATACTTAAAACTGAGTTCATTGTCTGTTGTCTGTGAAGGGCTACTAGATTTACCATTTAGGCTGAATATTCTCAGTAGCTCAAGATCTCACAAAAGAGATGGTAAGATAAATATCATCTCAATGAAATATGTTAACAACCACATTAACAAATTGCTGTGGGAAGAAGAGGGGAGAGCACTGAATCTCCTGGGTTTCTGGGAGAGCTTTACCAGTGAGGAGGTATCATTTGCTCAGGTCTATAAAGGACAGACTGGGAGTTTGCTAGGTGAAGAACTGAACAGGAAGGAGGGCTTTTGCAGACAGTGGGCCCAGGTTCTCCAAAAGTATTGACATATGAAAGAATTCTGTAAGTTCATAGAATGATGAGAAATTCAGTGTGGTGGGTTTTTATTTTTATTTTTGTAATTGTGAACACATTGGCTAAAGATTGAGAGAGGTAGCATGTATGTCAGAGCCATATCATGAGGTTTGACATACGGAAGTGCTTGATTCTCTGTTGCTAACATGTTTTGACTGCCAGTCTAAAGAAGAAGAATCAATGAGACAGACTTAGCTCCCCCATGATCAAGTAGCGTCTAATTTAAAAGTCTGATTATCCCAGCTTTCTGACTCTGATTATCCTCTACTTCAGATCCTATTCAGTGTATGCAGTGGAAAAAGGATAAACCTTTTCATTCACACTGAACATTCTTTAGGTTAGAGATTGTTGATATGTGGTTATCGCAGCATTGTGTCTGAAAAGTCTGGGGGGCTTGCTGAGAAAGCATATTCCTGGGTCTTGGGATTCCGATATTACTGGTATGAAGATGATGCCCAGGAATATAAGTTTTTAACATTCTGCAAGATTCTGTTACATACATAAATATGCAGTCTCTTGCCCTATAGGATAAAATTAAAAAGATATGGTTACATTGATTAATTGGAGCTCTCATGTAACTCACTTTAAGATAAAAGGAACTACAAGACAATGTATTGATAGTTAATATAGAGTTATGTAAGCTTCTAGAAGATTAGATACAACATGGGTTATGATTAAGTCAATGTATGTATTATTCTTATATGTATATATTAGAGCAAAGATTACAAAATGGCAGGTTATTTAATTGGAATTTTCCCTCAGAAATGTTTGTTTTTTGCTTATATAATAGTCTAATTGTTAAGAGTTTGAATTAGTTCTTGCATATAAACACTGAATATTTCATATAAAATATTGTATTCACACAACATAATATCATAACACTCCGTGCCCTCTAGTTTCATTCCCTGTTCTTTCCTCACTTCTTTTCATGCTCAGGAACTGCTGATTATTGGGAGGTGGGTGAACAGAGACCTCCATCCCTCTGTGTCTTTGCACATGTTCTTACTTAGTTCTAAAATGTCCTTGTCAACTTTATATTTTTGGTCATCTTTTAAGACACCATGCAAGTGTCATATCAACTGTGCAATCTTCCCTGGCTTCTCCCAGACCAGTTCAGGAATTCCTCCTCTTAGCTCTCTAAAAACTTTGCAAAATTCTCTTGTACCTCTTATCACATATGTATTTTAACACCTCCACCACCATCTCATGAGTTTATTCAGTATTTGACAAGTTAAAGAAATTTTTACCTAGGCTTAATATACTAGGGATTATCTCAGACCCACAGTTAATCTGAAGATCTAATAATCCCATACATGCAACTTCTTCATTATCTTAGTAGCAGAAATAGTGGCATTATTTTAGAAGAATACATGACTGTTTTGACTACTCAGAAATGTTTAGGCGGAATTCATCAGGTAGGTGCTGTGTATTCTTTTTCATGTCATTATTGTGATTTCACTTCCAAAGTGAAGTTGAATATATCACGGACAACCTAAAAAATCTATGTCATTGAATTATTTCCCATCATAATATGCTACAACTACATCTTAGCTGAATGAAATTTGTGATCATTTCTTAAAAGAGCATCCTGTTCTATATTTAGCTATAGACTTATCTAACATTGAAGTCACATTTAACTCTGAATTCTGTTTAATCTCTTTTTAGTAAAATAGCCTATTTTTTTCCTTCATAATAAGGCCAGTTTCAACTATTCACTATCATTTTCAACATTCCATTTTCCCCAAATATCATCTAAAGTTTTTTTTTTCCTGTTCTTGAATATACTTATTAGTTTCTCTCTCTTTTTTTCTGGCTCAATGCCATGCAGGGTTTAATTAATTCCTTCTACAATATTTGCATGCTATGATTTTCTTTAATTTATTCTCTCTACACTCTTGCCTTATTTAATTCAAGAGAACATTTGGGGAATGGATACCGTTTGCATGAAGGATGCAACGCAAATAAATTATGCTGCTTCCAACTGCCATAATGGGTAAGCAAAATCCTGCAAAGCCATTTCAATAAAGTCCATCTGCAAACGACGAGAGCAATTCTGATTAGTGCAGGTTAAAGCTACACTAAAAATCATTAGTGCACTTCAATTGCACTTGCATACTTTAAGTTTTAAAAAGTAATGCTGGGTTTAAATGTTTAAAATTACACTTTCAGCACTAGTTCCAAAAAGGATGTGTAAATCTGACCATGTTTGGCTCATAGTTTCCTGTCCAGATGGAATTGTGCATATGAATTTATAGAGCATTACAAGCTTGGACGTACAGTGATTGTACCATGATGTTTCACAGATCAAATTCCTTTGCTTTGTGAATTGTTGCCAATATGATGGCATTTAATTTTTTGAAAATAACTTCAACTCCATTAAAAATAACTGGGTGAATTAATTTAAAGCATATTTCTGGAAGCTGTTAGGAGACAGAAATAGGCCTGAAGAGAAGGAGAATCAGGGTTAGAGGTAGTGGCACTGGAGGAACATGACACAGAGGAAATCATTCTAGTCTGGTTGTTCCCCTGTGTCCTCTCTCCCTCTTGGGGACTTCTCATCAGACACTAGGCATTGGGTCCTGTGCAGTATTGCAGTTCTCTGGGGAAGCAAGCCCTAGACACCTAGGATGCTGAGCCGGAGTGAGCTCCTTTTATTGGGAGCCTAGCGTAGTTTGTCTGACTGCTGGTTGTCTAGGAGACCCAGGCAGAGAAGCATACATCATTGCAGTATTAGCTGTGTGTCCTTCAACAAAGTGATGAACTTCTCAAGGCCTTAGTTTCTTATTTTAAAATAGGGAATTTTTCTGCCAGCCGAGGTGTGAAAAAAAAAAAAGAGAGAAAGAGATAAAATAGAAACTATGTGTATCACACAGAATTCCTTGGAAATTTGAATCATATTCCAAATAAACTATATGTATTTTTTCTCAAAAAGAACTATAGAATAATTTATAAGTGGCCAATAAAAATATAAGATTATATTTCCTGATCTTCACAACTTTTTTGATTTACACCCGGATGCCATTCCATATATGAGTTAATTTATTTAAATGGAGAGTACCAGAATGCTAGAATTCCTTCTGAATATAAACGTTATTTGTCTACATGGTCCTGAATTTTAGAAAGCAAAATGCCCAGTTTTCAAGATTTTGACCTTTTTATTTACAGTTTTATTGCAAAGTAACGTTAGCAGAGAAAAGGGTGGTGTGATTGTTTAGGTAATGTCAAGAGGACAATTTCTGAGTTTTCTGGCACACACTAAGGGCATAATTTTCTGCTTCTTCATAAAATTGGCAGGAAGAATCTCAATGTCTCTGTCTTTATTGCTCAGATATAACTCAAGCAAGACATTCCATATGGTCAGAGAGCCTAAGGCCTTTCTGGACCAGTCTTGGAGGAAAGGAATGGTGTAGCCAGTAGAACTTACAGACTGCTCTCTATGCACTAGGCACCATCATTTACCTTTTGCACATATTTTTGCATTACATTTACAGAACAGTTCCTACTGCTTTCCTTCAGTGGTTCATTTATGTAAAAAAATAGACTACTAAAGCTATCTGAGAAGAAAAGATAGCCACTTAATGAGAAAATGGATAATTTTCAAAACTTTCCATGGACGTAAGAACATGAGAAATTTCAGAGCTAGGAGGCAGAAATTTTTTTTTACATACCAAAATTAGCAAGAGACATAGACTAAATTCAAAATGAAAAAATAATTTTAAAATGAGATGCATACCAAGGACAATGGCTAAGCTCTCTTATTCTAAATACAGGTTTGCTGTCTGCAGTTAAGTGCTGGCTGTTCTAGAGCAATGCTGGAATTCATCACAGGGCTAGGAGTTCAGGAGGTGGAGTTAGATAGATCAAGATTAAGTCTTGGCTTCTGTTTTCCAACTTTAGGCAAGTCACTTAGGTTCTCTGCATATTCATTTTCTACTTATAAAGTGAGAATAATAAAATGCTTACTTCATACAGTACAGATTAACTTAGTTTGTACAAAATAACACACCTAGCACAATGCTAAATTCATGAACATTAAGTAATGCTATTATTACTAAAATTTGTATTGCCTAGGCAACTTTTAAAGGACAGCCTTCCTGGTGCTTAAGATTGGAGTGAATCCTTGGTGCTTAGCATTCCTGTATCTAAGTTTAGAAAACAATGGGCTGGGGCACTGTATCTGGCATCAGGGGTTCATACCCTAAGGAGATGACACAGATCTTTTCCCATTTAGAACACAAGGAATCATCAGAAAGCAGACTCTCTGCTTAGTCTGTCCAAATCAAGTTACGTTTCCCTTTCCTCTTATGAAGCAGCATATGGACTTCAAGTCAAAGTCCTTGTTAATGCAAATATGAACTATTGACTTTAATAAGTCTTCTATACCATTTTGAAGAGTGGTACTGACACTTGCCATTTGTATATTCACAAGTCCACAATACACAAATTCATAGCAAAATATAGATCTCATCTAAATGTTCCTTTGGCAATGAGAATAGTTAACTGCTCATTTCTTGCCATCTTTTCTCCTATGGTAAAGGAAAGGCATTAAGGCTTTTGAGTGAAAACAAGAGCTACTTTTCTGCATAATTGATTTATAAGTACTCTGAAGGACTATAATAAGAATAATAAATAAAATTCCACATTGTATACTGCCACAAAAACACTAAAATACAAAGAAACCTATTGGTGTTTCTTTTTTTTTTTTTTTTTTTGAGATGGAGTTTCGCTCTTGTTGCCCAGGCTGGAGTGCAAGGGCATGATCTCGGCTCACTGCAACCTCCGCCTCCCAGATTCAAGCAATTCTCCTGCCTCAGCCTCCCAAGTAACTGGGATTACAGGTACGTGCCACTACGCCCGGCTAATTTTGTATTTTTAGTAGAGATGGGGTTTCTCCATGTTGGTCAGGCTGGTCTCGAACTCCTAGCCTCAGGTGATCCGCCCACCTCGGCCTCCCAAAGTGCTGGGATTACAGGTGTGAGCCACCGCGCCTGGCCTGGTGGTTTTTTAAATCATCTTTTAAGTCTACAAAAACAGTCAAAATAGAATATCATTAATTTTTATTTCTAAAAGTACTTTCCCTGAGGGCATTATGTTATTGTATCAGACCAAATATTCCTTTGTATCATATTGTGTGAATTTTATAAATTAATGAAGATCTTGCTTGGGGGCAAAACATGCCATACAAGATACTGTATGTTTGAGAGAAAGAGCTCCAAAAATCATAGGTTCCCTTTAATTTAGACACCTTAAGAGCTCAGGTTATTTTGAAATCTTCTTGAGGAACTCCATGTGCAGTTGCTTCTATAAGTTAGCAGAGTCCCAGGGGGTCACCTGAGAGATATTTTGATCCATAGTTGATGGCACTGGAGGGGGTGACTCAATCTAAAATAAGACATCGAAAGCTTCCAAGACTTAGTATCTATGGTATAATTTAAATTTATGGAGTGATGTGTTGGGAGGGGTGCATTTTTGCTAGAGCATCAAAACAAGAAATTATTGACTTCAGAGTAGACAAGATAATAGTCCCAGAGGATGAAATAAAATATCTTAGTTAAAACAGAGCCGCATGTTAATGCCTATTTAAGGCTTTTCGAACATGGTAAAACACATAGAAAATATGCAAGGTACTCTCTATAGTTCTGGTTTTCAGATGTCTGTGTGCATCAGAATCATATGTTAAAATGCATATTCCCAAGTCAGACACTAACCCTGATCACTGAGATTTTCTGAGGGGGAAGGTAGCAATTCTGATGTAAACCAAGGTCTAAGAATTGCTACTCTATAGTTTTTGCCATGCCATATCTCAGCCTATAGGGAAAAGGCTTTGGATTCTAAGAAAGAAAAGCACCACATTGGTTTGTTATTCTACCATAAACACTCACAGAAAGAGGAAATTTTATTAAAACATTTATCAGCAAGGTATTTTTGGAAGATTTTTTGTTGGTTATGTGTGCATTTATTTAATAAATGATCTTCAAATACCTCAGTAAGTATAATCAACTGCAGTTCCTGTTGGCAATACAAGAATGAATCAAACAATTGAAAATATCTCCAATTTACTCACATTCTAATTGTAGAGACACGCAAGCAACCAGAAAAATGAAATAGAAGGCATTAAGATAGATGCATGCACAGGGTATTATGAAAGAATGAAGGTAGAGATGAGAGCTTTAACCCAGCTCGAAAAGGGCAACTTCTCAGAGGAAATGATGCTTAAGCCAAATCTTGAAAAAAATGATTATATAAAAAGGTTAACTTGAGGGTGTCTATGAGAGCATGTTTCGGTCATAAAGAATGAAGTTAAAAGGTTCAAGGGCATGAAACAGCTGGGATAACAAGAAGTAATTAAATATATCAGTTTAAATATTTATACATATATTTAATTGATTTCAAATAGATATAGTAATTAAATATAACCAGTGTAAGAGTCATGTGAGAAGAGTGCAAAAAGTGGAAAGGGTCAGATTATGAAAGCCTTATTTGGTAAAATAAAAAATTTTAATTTTCTCTTGTAAGCAAAAAAGACTAAATGATTTCAAGGACCAAAGTGAAAAGATCAGATTTGCATAGTTGAAAGCCACTTCTGCCATTCTGATTACATTATGGAGTATGATTAAAGGTAGGGTAATGCAATTGAGGATGGGAAAATATGGTAATTTTGGCAAGTGGCAATGGAAGAGGTGGAAATGGATATGAACAATATTAAGAAAGCAATAAAAAAGACTTCAAGTCAATATGAGTTGTACTGTGAGTGAATAATGGCACACAAAATCAACACTCGATCTGCAGAAATACTTTACTAACAAACGTTTGGAAAACAAATTGCCCATTCTCCATCACACAGGATTTGGAGAGAAAATAAAAGTGGGCTGGACTCTTTTGGAACCCAGAAACTTTTCCCTGTCCCCTGGGGCATGGAGGTGGCAAGAACTGTGGGGTGGGGTTCATTGGATTTTGATAGGCATCAAAATGACCTGGTAAGTGTTTTAAAAATCCTAAATTTGGATCAATGGATGGAAAATACATGAGTAAGTTTTCTCTTGATTATTTAAAAAGTATAATCTACTATCAAGATGGTTAACCTAGGGTTAACAATATCAACTGAGCATCGAACAACACTAATTACCCAGTTGATCTTAGGCAGCTATCATTATTTTGAGATGGAATCTTGCTCTGTTGCCGAGGCTGGAGTGCAGTGGTGCCATCTTGGCTCACTGCAACCCCTGCCTTCCCGGTTCGAGCAATTCTCCTGTCTCAGCCTCCCAAGTAGCTGGGACTACAGGGGCACACCACCATGCCCAGCTAATTTTTGCATTTTTTAATAGAGACGGGGTTTCACCATATTGGTCAGGCTGGTCTTGAACTCTTGACCTCAGGTGATCCACCCACTTCGGCCTCCCAAAGTGCTGGGATTACAGGCGTGAGCCACCATACCTGGCATAGGTAGGCAGCTATTACATCCCATCAACTTAGGGGATTGAGCGAAGATCTCTGCCTTCACAGAGCTTATGTTCTAATGTCAATTTAGGGCACAGCTCATTATTTTCTGCATATCAGATCTTCCCAGGAGTATTATGTGACGTGGGAAGAGTGGTCACCTCCATGGATTGGATGAGACTCAAATATGCTTTCAAAACTATGGTATTGTTGCTTTCTACAACATCACAAAAAATACAAGGCAGAAGAATATGTGTGAAGTAAAAACATAGATATATTTAAACAGATTTAGAGCACTTATTTGCCTGATTAATTGGAAGAAGAAGAAGAGAGGAGGAGTAAGAGAAGGAGAAGGAAAAGGAGGTAGAAGAAAATGAAAAAACTTTTATTAAAAACAATAAAAATTACCTGTATACTTTCATCCAGATAAGCTTTATTAACAGTTTTCAAAGTAGCATTCAAGTATGTTTTTAAAGTTCAGATTATGTAGTTTTTATGGCTCCTTTTGGCTTTAATCTTATATTATTTTACATAAAATAATAATGAGACCAGTAAGCAAAAAGTATGTGTAAGAATATTAATCACAGCACTGTTTACAATTGTCTGTTTAATCTGTTTAATTCAGCTTTTTATATTCTGCCTTTTAGTGTCATTATTTTTGTTATTTAAAAAGTGTAACAATCACAACAGCAAACAACATAATTTTGCTATGATAACATGGTAGCATTAATATTTTTATATCTTTTCTATATCGCTATCTATATATTTCTTTAACAACTATTTGGACCATATTGTATATACAGGTTAGTATTCTTTTTTTCCTTACAATCTACCTTTTCCTAAGCTCTTTAAATATTATTTCATCATATAAGCTGTATATTTGAAATATTGTTACAGATTTTAGTTATAAATAACTATACACATGTAAATGCATTTCCCTACTATATCCTGGTAGTATCGTAATAAGTAATAGCTTTTATTTCACTGGTTAATGCTCTATCTGCTAGTGAAGAATCCACCTTCTCTTTTTTCCATAATTATTTCTGCAGCCACCTGGATATGAATCAGGTGCTCTTATCATCATGTCTAGCATGTTGTCACATGACATTCATCATCTTTCCTTGCCTCTTGTCTGCCTATACGCCAATGATCCTACCTCTGCCCGCTAAGCTATGCTAGGTTGCCTTGTCCCATCCTCTTGTGCTCACAGGTGAGCTGCTTCCCCCAGGTATCTTTTTTTTTTGTGTGTGGAGACAGGGTCTCACTCTATCACCCAGACTGGAGTGCAGTGGCGTGATCACAGCTCACGGCAGCCTCAACCTCCTGGGCTCAAGAGATTCTCCCACCTCAGCCTCCCAACATGTTCTTCTGGCTATGAGCTCACTTCCACAATTTGCCACCTCTTCCTAAGGGACACTGCTTCCAGAATCACTGACTCAAACCTCCTGGGTGACTCTGTTACTATGGTGAGGTTAAGATACAAGACATCTCTGAGTACTCTGAAGCCAAAATAATATAATAAACAAAAAATTATTAAACTATAATACAGTTTATCATTCTATATATTATATACCATATATTATTATAGTATATTAATATACAATTCTTGTTGTTGTTGTTGTTGTTGAGACGGAGTCTTGCTCTGCCACCCAGGCTGGAGGGCAGTGGCGTGATCTGGGCTCACTGCAACCTCCACCTCCCGGGTTCAAGCAATTCTCCCGCCTCAGCCTCCTGAGTAGCTGGGATTACAGATGTGGACCACCACGCATGGATACTTTTTGTATTTTTAGTAGAAATGGGGTTTCACCATGTTGGTCAGGCTGGTCTCGAACTCCTGACCTCAGGTGACCCTCCCACCTCGGCCTCCCAAAGTGCTGGGATTACAGGCGTGAGCTACCGCACCTGGCCTAATATACAATGTTTTTTAAAAGAGGAAGAGAGGCTTCTTTCAGAAGCAGAATAACTTTTTTTTTCTTAAAATTACATATTTGGATCCATAAAGGAATACAAAATGTGCCCTAATCTGTAATAGGGATTTTTAAAATGATCTCTTTCAGTTTTTATTTATTGCTCTCTTATGGGATTTAGGTATCTATATAATAGGAACTGAGCTAGAAAATGCATTTAGAAGGGACACCATGTTTTATTTAGAATCCCTCTGCCTCTTCAGTGACTAAGATTTTGTTATTAGGTGAACTTCCTGGTGCCTGGCTTTTTTTTATCTTAATAATTACTTTAGTTTGCCAATGTACCTTTTGGAAAGAATATCCTTGGTTTAAACTGGGACTTTGCACATTTTTTTCTAGTAAGTCCTTGTAATTCTTTGAAAGGTTCTTACTCATATATCACCATCCATTCTTGATGGAGAATGGGATGAAGGGATGTTTAATAGAGTCACTCTGTCTCTTCTCCTGGGGCAAGATATCAGAGATGAAGACAATCTTTTGTCAGCCATTGTTAAATGATGAATCCAATCCCAGCCCAAAGCTATGTAAATGAGTTTTGGCACTAGTGATATTTCTGGCAGTCTGTCTCAGGGATCTCAACCTCTAACTAGGCCTTTTCCAACCTTGAGCTTTCTCTTAGACAAGCATGCCATTTTCTTATGCAGGATGACTTCTGTTTCTGTGCAAGGCCATCCCATTCCTGAAGTGGTATAGGAACTGATGCTGAATCAGTGGCTCAGAGACAATAGAATTGGATTTGTCAAGCCTCATAAACCCCTCTTTCCATCACAGACTCTCTCTAGCCTCAGCTCATCAACATTCAATTATCAGAGAGCTGAAGAACTAGATCTGTGAACCAGGGAATCCTCTAGATGCTTCTGTGGATATTGGTATAATATCAATTATGGCCCTATTCTCTGCCCTGGCTCTTCTCTCTAGTGCTTTTTTCTAACACTTCAGCACAGAAGACGAAACATGACCCTTCAACATCTGATTTCTGAATTTAATTTTTCTGGGTTGAACATAAAAAATCATAAAGGGGTATAGTTTACAAAAAAGCAGACAAACAGTAAACATATGAAAACATGTTTGACTTCATACATCATGAAATGTAATATGTTAAGCAACTATAGCATTTCATTTCTTATCTGTCATATTGACAAAAGTCAAATAAAAAGTTCAATGATATTTTGAACTGCTAAGAACAAAAGCATATACTGGTGCTGAGAAAGTGGATGTGTACATCGTTAGTGTCAATTTGACAACACGTGTATACACTGAAATTTCTTGTACCTTTTGTTCCAAGAATTATAACACTAAAACACACTTTATAGATGTTCTCACTAAATTGTGCCAATAGATGTATAAGGCCAATCATTTAATATTGTGCTGTAGAAAAATGAACAAAAATCACTAGGGAAGAATCAAAAAGACCTGTATTAAACTAGAACTTAAATCAGCAAAGAGGTGAAAAACATGTCATGGAGAAGAATAAGGAATATACTGAAAAGATCAATATAAAGAACAGAATGTGGTCTGTGAAAATAAAAAAGAATCTATGTGGTATAATTTTTTTCTAGAAGATGAAAGTTAATACTAATAGTTATTATGTTTGGGAAGATAGATTTATTGGAGAAGAGAGACTTACACTTTTCATTTGGAATCCTCTGAGTCCTTTAATGTAACTGTATTTATTTTTTTTAAATGGCAATAGGAGATATGTGAGTCTGTAGACCTAGGTTTTATTATACAAATATGCAGAACAAAATGTGTGTGTCCATGTGAACTTTAAAAATTGTTATCTGTTTTTTAATTGTATGCTCACATGCGGTTGTAAGTAATAATACAGGGAGGGTTTTTGAGTATATCTCTTTGTTTAGCCTTTTTGATGTTGCTAAATGAGTAAAGCTGTTTAAGTATTTAAGTCCTTATTGATAAGGGAGCTGAGGTATTTCTAAGCATTACTGCATGAAAGCACACCTGGGGCAGGAGCGAGACTTTCAATGATGACTGCACATTAGAATCACCTGGGAACTTTTAAAAAGCACTAATATTCAGGCCTTACATTATACCAATTAAATCAGAATCTTTCCTGGGGGCTAGGAGTAGACACATGTAACATTTTTAAAGTTCTCCAAGTGATTTTCAACATGCAACCAGAGTTGAGAACTATTGGCGATATTTCTCAAACTTAAGTGTACATAAGAATCACCTGGGAATCTTGTTAAACTGTAGATTTTAATTCTAGAGATCTGTGATTCTGCATTTCTAAGGAGCTTCAGGTTGATGATTATGCTGGTCACCTGCAGGCTGCACTTAACGTTGCAAAGGGCTACAGGTATGAGCTGGTATTTGCTAAGATCTTGGATTTTGAAATTCATAGAGTTCCATTTGAGGATCTATGGACTGTGGAGGTAGGAAAAATGTGAGCTGGGGAATGGAAGTAGAAGGGAGGAGGAGGGGGGAGTGTGATGGGGAAAGAAGAGAGAGGGCTGGTGAACAAAGAGTAGATAGATAGTAAATAGCAGATATGTTCTCAGAGTAGCAACTTTTCTTTTGCCCTTTCCTTAAAAAAAAAAAAAAAATCATTGTCCTGGCCGGACCTAGTGGCTCACCCCTGTAATCCCAGCACTTTGGGAGGCAGAGGCAGGCAGATCATTAGGTTAGGAGTTCAAGACCAGCCTGGCCAACATGGTGAAACACTGTCTCTACTAAAAATACAAAAAAATGTAGCTGGGTGTGGTGGCAGGCGCCTACTCAGGAGGCTGAGACAGGAGAATCACTTGAACCCGGAAGGCGGAGGTTGCAGTGAGCTGAGATCATGCCGTTGCACCATAGCCTGGGCAACGAGAGTGAAACTCCATCTCAAAAAAAAAAAAAAAATCATCGTCCTTTGGAGGAACTTTGTCTAAATTTCACCATTATCCTCAGCAATCATTAGACTTGTGGAAAGTCACAGTTTTGAAGAAAAGTTTTGGATTTGTTTCCTGAGAAAATATGAATGCCTTAATGAATTTATTGCTTAGTTCCGTCTTATCTGAGCAAGCATATTAACATCATAGTGGCCCTAAACATTTTGGAAGCGAGGTTAAGGGCAAGGAGAGCACAAAATTGAATGGTGTCAAATATTTATCAAGCACCCAATACCTGCCAAGAACTTTCACTTGTATTACCTAATTTAATTTTATGAAAATTCTATAAGCTATGTAAGTTTTCATATTCTCATTTGGAGATGAGGAAGCTGAATCTAAAGCAAGTATTCAAGTTATTTCCCAAGGTCACATAAATATAAACCAACAGAGTTAGTATCTATACTCAGACATTTTCACTCCAAGTTCAGTTTTCTTTCCATTTCAACTAGGAAAGCCTGAACTTACAGAAATAGCAGATAGGTTGAAAAATAAAAAAAAAATAATAAATATTTGATTGCAACAAAAGATGGAGGCTAATATGTTGAATATAGAAACAGTTTTGAAAAGAGCATTGAATTTCAAGAACATAGTAAATTTCAAGTTTAAAATGTAATCTTGAAAACTGAAGGATTTGCTAATGGACTATTCCAGTAAAAAATTAAACTATTATCAAATAAATGTAAGAGTAGTTAAGGAACCTAATGAGATATTTAGAAAGTTCCTTTCCCTAAGGATTCCCTAAAATTAAAAATAATTCTTAGTTTCTCCTGACTTGTTTGCTCATAACTGTGTGATAAACTAAAGCTCTTGTGCAAAGTTATCAGTGTCAAGAACTACACAAAATATTACCCTGGGAATAGAGAGGATGTGTGCCAATGTGTGTGTTGGGGGCGGTTAGAAGAAATCCAATTAAGAAAAGTGGGCAAAGACATTTTAGTATCAAGGTTGAAACAGGAAGATAAGGAAAGAGAATTTGTCCCTATGTGCCTGAGGGAATAGACCTATATAATTCTGAGGGAGGTTGGATAGACATATATTATCTACCATCTGTTTCTACACCTTGAGGAGCCTAACTAATGAGATCTTGGATTTGCCACTAACGTTTGGCGAATAGTTGTGGGAAGACTCTGAAGCTTCATTCTGAAACTCCAAAATTCCTTGATGTGTCAGGACAATTTTGTTGCTGTAGGAGGTTGAGAGAGGTCACTGTCAGTAAAAACTTGTTAACGTTCATCCTGTAGGGCCTACAAAGCAGCTCAGAAACCAGTGTTGGTCACCCAGTCAAATTGATTGCTATTGGCAGCCAAGCTACATGACATTTCCATGTGTTTATGGGTTGAAACCATGGGATGAGTCACACAGTTGAACTTTTTATTTAATCTCTTTTCTTTAGCATAGATCATTAGATTAATTTTTGGATTCCCACCTCTTAAAAATCACTCATAGCAGTTTGAAATATGTACCTTAAAATATACATGAGCTGATATACATTTGTTTGGCAGGGTTGATCTAAGATAACCCACCAAAAAATGGTTCATAGGTCAAAGTCCCCCTGTAACCCTGAAACCCCTGATAACTAAAGATCTTGGCTTAAAGTAGACCTATTTTGTGCTGAATTCCACTTGACTGAAAATGGGATGATTGCATGTTTCCAGTGCCAATATGGTAAGAAGACTGCTGTTGGTCACAGTCATCAACCAAGAATATGTAAAATGAGTTTTAGATCACTCTAAAATAGACACAGTTTTTGCTGTCATGCTGGAAGTCAGTTCAACACCTTCATGCATCTACCATACTTATATTAATGTCAGTAGAGTTTATGATTTGATTTAGTTTGGATCTGTGTCCCCACTAAAGTAATGTCAAATTGTAATCCCTAATGTTGAATGAGGGGCCTGGTGGAAGGTGACTGGATCATGGGGGCAGATTTCCCGTGAATGATTTAGTACCATCTCCTTGGTGCTGTCCTTGCAATAGTGAGTGAGTTCTCATGAGATCTGGTCGTTTAAAGTGTGTGGCACCTCCCCCCTCACTGTGTCTTTCTTCTGCTCCCGCCATGTAGGATGGCGGCTCCCCCTTTGCTTTCTACCATGATTGGAAGCTTCCTGAGGCCTCCCCAGAAGCAGAAGCCACTATACTTCCTGTACAGCCTGAAGAACCGTGAGTCAATTCAATCTTTTTTCTTTATAAATTACCTAATAGCAGGTATTTCTTTATAACAATGCAAGAATGGGTGAATACATGATTCTTTCCAGGAATTTATCCTGGACCCTCCTTGCCTCTGTCTCTGATGATGCCCTGCCCCATTCTCAGGCTTGTCTTTACTTCTCCTCCTGGCTTTTGAACTTGAAGTGGTTTCATTTCCCTTTTTAATCCCACAAGGTATCCCTTGTGATTAATTTTCAGCTCTGGGAGGATGCTCCCCTCTGGTTTTACCTCTCAAAACTCATGCCTGGTGCCAGGTTTTAATTAGCCCCTTGTCAGCCCCTCCCTCCCTTCAGGAATGAAAAAGACTGAGGTCAATGTATTATAATTACAATTGTGTTGAAGATATTTCCAACACACTGGATGCTGATAGGTGAAGAGATAATGAGTGGTAAAATATCAAGACTAATATTCTTATCACTACTGTCTAGAAATACATACTGACAATGGGATCAAAGAAAACCAGAGCAGCCTAGGGAACCCTATTCTATCCCATTTGTAAATTTTGATTTATAACTGAACCTGACTGATCTTTGTTATCAATGAATAATAAGTTATTGCTGAGGATGTGGACAAATAAATGGGAATGAATCTGCCACAAAAGCTTCAAACCAAACATATGACTTTTTATTCTCTTGTTTTTTCACTAGTTCTAGACTCAGGCATTTCATGAAACTCTGTGCAAATTTTCAAGGGTAGAACTCAATATGTTGTGCCTGATCTGAAAACTCTAAATTCTGAAAATTAAAGAAAAGGAATCTTTTAGGCTTATTTCTTCAATCCGTTTTATGCAAAAGCGTAGCTAAAGTCTACACTTACTGTTATGATAATTACTTTTTATTTAAACATGAATTTTTGTTATTTATTGTCACAAAAAATCTCACTTTTTATGTGTGTTTATGTATGAATAAATGTAGATTAAATATCTAATGTGTGTTTATACGTGAATAAATGCATATTAAATATCTAATGTAGGATTGACAGTCTCTTTCACATTCTCTTATTGAGTGAATTTTAAAACACTTATAAAGTCATTGGGATGATATTCCATTGCTTAAAAACCTTAGTGAGTCCCTGTTCCCTTCAGATATGCTATACTTTTTAATAGTGTTCCATGGTTCTTGAATTTTTCTCGAGACAAAATCTCTCTCTGTTGCCCAGACTGGAGTGTAGTAGTGCGATCTTAGCTCACTGCAACCTCCGCCTCCTGGGTTCAAGCAATTCTCCTGCCTCAGTCTCCCAAGTAGCTGGGATTACAGGCCCCCGCCACCATGTCTAGCTAATTTTTGTATTTTTAGTAGCGACAGGGTTTTATCACGTTGGCCAGGATGGTCTCGAACTCCTGACCTCAAGTGATCCTCTTGCTTCAGCCTCCCAAAGTGCTGGGATTATAGGCATGAGCCACTGTTGAATGTTTTATTCTGTATTTCTTTTCCATTCCTTTTTTTCTCCTTGTGTTTCAGTTTGGGAAGTTTCTTGTGACCTATTTTCAAATTCAGATTCTTTCCTTGTCTATATTGAGTCTAATGATGAGCCTATGTGAGTCAATCTTCATTTTTTTAGCATTTATTTTCAATTTTTTCTTTATGGTTTCCATGTCTCTGTTGACATCATTCATTTTCCCCTTAGATGTGACACTCATTTTTGCACAGTAGACAAATGTTTACAAAATTTTTTTGTCCCTTCTTGCTTCACATTACAAACTGTAGTTATAATCGAATTATTTCAAGTTACCTGAAAAAAAATGCTTTCTAATTCCAGGTTTAATGAAATTTTTATATTTCAAAATCAAGCTCAAATATTACTCTGTGATGACTTCCTGGTCTGATTTTATGAGTCCTTGGCATAATTGGTGGCTTCTTCTTATGCTTGACCAAAATACTTTCTATATACCTTTGTATGCACATTATACGCTATTATATCTATTGCTATTATATTATATTGTTATAAGTTTTATATTATACCATTATATCTATTGTTAGATGTCTATCTCTTTTATAAGACTATAACATCCTAAAGAATATGGAAGACATTTTACCCATATTTATAATTCCAGGCACATACTAAGTGCTCAACATTTTACATGAATATTCTGTTTTATTCCTAAAAGCATGTGAGAAACTTAGGAGAAAACACAAGCAATAAAACAGTGGTAAATTAAAAATAGAAATACAGAATCTGAAAAAGTAGAAAGGCATATAAAATTTAAAACTTGAAATCCTGTAAAATAAATGCCCAAATATACAGACAATTTAAAGACACAACTGAGCTTCAAATTTCTGAGCTTCCTAGAAGACAAAAAAGTAAAATGAGACACATGGTATTTTAGGTAGCTGTTGCCAAAGCATTGAAGTATAACAGCATTGAAAGAACCATAACATATTGGTGGCTCATGCTATTTACTTATTATGCATCTGTGGGTGAGCTTAAGCAATTCTGTTAACCTCAGCTGAGCTAAAATCTATGTTTTGACTGGGTTTTAGCTGATCTGAACTGTAGTGTCTGTTATTTTCTGTTTCAAGTTGCAGGTGTGAAACAGAAAATACTCCAGCATCTCTCAGCCTCCTTGGATATGTAGGCTAAGCCAGATCATGTTCTCATGGCAATGCAAGGGTCAAACAGCCAGGCCCAATATCACAGGTACTTGTAAGCCTTTGGTTCTGCCATGTTTACTAACATTCCATTGCTTGAGTAAATCATATGGTCAGACCCAATGTCAAGAGACAGAGAAACTGTCTACTTCCATGGAGGTGGCACTGAAAAGGCCATAAAAATTTCTGAATCATAATCTAATTATATATGAGAAATTATTGTTTGCTTAAGTGGAAGGGGTATTATTTTGTAAGGGAAAATAAAACTTTACTCAGTCCCATATGCCAAGAAATATTTCTCAAATGCTATTTTATATGCGTGGTTCTTAGGGATACAATGGACATATCACTGACAATGTTTCCTAAGTCTACTGGTTTTAAATTCATATCGCTATTTCTTGAGGTTAACCTAATTCAAACAGGTGCTTATATTGTGGTTATTGTCTCACATGCATTGTTGAATTAGATTTCCATGGCCATGTCAGAAATGGAAGACAATATCTTTATATCCATTTTTTAGATGAGAAAACATTACTCAGTGATATTAAGCAATTTTCCCAGTACTAAAGATTCCCAGTACTAAATGATATAACTTAAATATCATCAACTATATCACAATGTTGTTAATTCCAAGATAACATGTCATCTTTCAAAGGCCTAGACCACATTAACTCTAAAATTGATAACAATAGTGTTAATAGGAGCTACAGTCATACACAAGGTTTCTAGATGTGTGCAGTATTAACAGGGCTTGTCACTAGCTGTTTTTGTTTTACCCTCATCAAATTTCACAATCATGTCTAGATTTATTTTTTGCACGTAGCTATATAGTTGTCACAGCACTATTTGTTGAAAAGATTACTTTCTCTGTCGAATTCTCTTTCCTCTTTTGTCAAAGATCAGTTGGCTATATTTGTGTTAATCTATTTCTGGGCTCCTTATGTTCCATTGATATGTCCAGCTTTTTTCACCCAAACCATGCAGTATTGATTATTGTAGCTTTATAGTAATTCATGTGGTATAGTTCTCCCATTTTGTTCTTTTCCTCTTCAGTATCATATTGACTATTCTGGATCTTTCCTCTATTGATCCTATACACAATTTTATTAGATTTATTCCTAAGTGCTTCTTGTTTGAGTGCTGATATAAATGGTATTGTGTTTTTAATTTCAAATTTAAATTTTCCATTGTTGGTATGTAAAAAAGCAATTTTATGTATCCTGCAGCTCTGTTTTAATTGCTTATTAGTTACAGGATTTATTGTTGATTCATTGGGATTTTCTACATAGGCAATCATGTCACTTGCAAAAACAAACAAATGAAAACAGTATTATTCTTTCTAATCTGTATACCTTTTATTTTGTTTTCTTGTCTTATTACCTTAGTTAGGACTTAGCATATGGTGTTGAATAGGAGTAGTGAAAGGGACATCCTTGCCTTGTTTCCAATCTTGGAGGAACAGGGTCTAGTTTCTCATGATCAAAAATGATATTATTTTTAAGTGTTTTGTAGGTGTTCTTTGTAAAGTTTTAGAAATTCCCCTCTCTTTCTAGTTTGAGAGTTTTAAAATCATGAATCATTGCTGGATTTTGTCAAATGCTTTCTCTGCATCAATTGATATGATCAACTGATTTTTCTTCTTTGTTAACATGGCAAGTTAGATTAATTAATTTTCAAATGTTGAACCAGACTTTGGGGAACTTGGAATTAACTCTACTTGGTCATAGTTTTAATTCTTTCTATACATTGCTAAATTCCACTTGCTTAGTTCCATAGATCTCTTAAGTAAAACTCATTAGTTCCAAATTCAGAATGACCCGCAACCCTGGTACCAGAGATTATATGTAGCAAAGACAAATAAATAAATTACTCAATATAGCTTTCTTGAATAAAAATTAGATTATAATTGAATTAAAGTTAGACCTAAAAACACTTTGAACTTCTAAGACAAACCAGTAGATCAGCAATGGGTTTAATTAAACATATTTTTAGTTTTCCATGGACTGATTGATACTTTGTTCGAGAATAGGGGTTTAGAAGTTACTAGTTAAAAAGCTTATGATCCCCATTTACTGATGGGGATTTTTTTCTTCTTAAGACGTACTGTCTTGAGCCCTGAAAAATCTGTAAATAGCTTTTCTCTTCTTCTACTGGTATACTGAATTGCCAATCTCACTTAGTGTGGCTCTCAATAAAAACCCCAGATATATCCTCTCTTTATGTAAAAGTTAAACAAGTGGTGATTTTTCTCAAGTGAGATGCTTGTTTTAGCCTCAGAAAGGCAAAAGTCAGGAACCTGTAGATATGTTGTTGAATATCTTTTAGAAGACATTTCTGACAAAGAGGCCAAGAATATTAGTCTGGGTCTCTAGGGGAAAGAGCTGGTCCATTTAAGACTTACCTAAAGAGAAATGAATGAAGGGTCTATTTACAAAGTCATGGGCATGATTTAGGGAATCAATAAAGGTTGGTGAAGCTCCCAGGGACAGCAACAGCTGGAGTTCTTAGAGCTGAATACCCTCAGAGCTAAAATGGGCAAAGGCCCTCATGGTGTTACCAGAACCCAGTGAGAGCTGCAGTTGTGGAAGAGAGGCTTCTCAACCACTGGTTAAGAAAGGATGATATAGATAAAAATGCAGTCCTCTGAATTTCCACCCTTTAAGTTGTGTGTATGAGTTTTCTTTTGCTGCTGAAACAAATTAGTACAAACTAAGTAGCTTAAAGCAACACAATATTTTTATGTTACAGTTCTGTAATGATAAAATAAGCACCTTGATTTTAACCTGGTTCAACCATGTCAGACTTCTGTAAGAAATGTAGGGCTACATTTCCTTTTGGAGGCTCAAGCTGGGGAGTCCATTTTCTGACTTTACCAGCTACTAGAGGGGACCTGCATTTCTTGGCTTGTGGCCCCTTCCTCCGTCTTCAAAAGCCAGAGTGCAGGCTGAGTTCTTTTACCATTGCATTACTCTGACTGCCTCTTCTGCCTCCTCCTCTATTCTTAAAAAAAACTTGTGACTACACTGAGCTCATTTGGATAATCCAAGACAATCTCCTTATCTTAATATCAGCTGATTAGCAACCTTAATTCCATCTGCAACTTTAATTCTTCTTTTTCATGTAACCTAACATTTCATAGGTTCCAGAGATTAGGATGTGGATATTTTTGGAAACTGTTATTCTGCCTATCACACTGTTGATGTTCAAAACTCTCTCTAAGATAAATGCTTATATTCTCATGATCACTTATAATTCTTATTTCCTTTCTTTACTAAATTTTTTTCTTGTTCTATGACGCTTGCAATGGTATTTCCTTACCCTTGTGCTAAGAAAAATACAAAACAGGAACCCTTTCTTTAAATGTCATTCCACCTTAAAATAAACTTGAAAAGGAAATAATTGTCTATGTTAGAAATTTTTCAGAGGATATATTAGACATTTCTAATCTCATTCTGTTGGTTGTTCAACTACTGTAGTTTCTCAATGGGCATTGATTACTTCACTGTACCTGGTGCCCAACCTTCCTTCATAAACATTGGTCCTGTATTTATCTCCTCGTTATGCTGCTTTATTCTCTTTTCCCTTCTCCTCACTCCCAGTTGCATTACATATTCCTCTCACTTGTTCATGCAGACACTTGACTGTCTCTTCTGTTGCCTGTTGGTGTATTTTTCTAAAAGGAATTGTGGTGAAAGCTAGTATAATACATTTCTCTTCATTTGATAGGGTATGGATCTGTAGTGCCCACTGAAATCTCATATTGAAATGCAATCCCCAAAGTTGGACATGGGGCCTGGTGGGAGGTGATTGGATCATGGGGGCAGTTTCTCATGAATGGTTTAGTACCATCCCGCTTGGCACTGTTGTCACAATAGTGAGTGAGTGAGTTATCACAAGATCTGGTTGTTTAAAAGTGTGTAGCACCTCCCTCATCTCACTCTGCCTCCTGCTCTGGCTATGTGATGTGTCTGGTGTCTGCTCCCCCTTAGCCTTCCTCCATGACTGTAAGTTTTCTGAGGCCTTTGCAGAAGCCAGGGAGGTGCCACTATGTTTTTGTACAGCAGAACTGTGAGCCAATGTAACCTCTTTTCTTTATAAATCACCCAGTCTCAGGTATTTCTTTATTGCAGTATGAGAATGGACTGATGTACCATTGATAGCAAACACTTCATCAAATCCTGTTTATGCCTTTCTTTCACAAGTGGTCAACTCCCTTCCTGTATCTCTTTGATCTGAAGGATCTATTTTATTTGAAGCAATAAAAGAGTAAAATAAGAGCTTTATTATAGTTAACATCTGTGGTGAGATTTGTTTATCTCAATAAAATGTTTCAATTCAGTGTAAATGACATCACAAGAACATTTTCTGAGGCAAACATTGTGGTGTGGCTACTCGACCTCAACTTCCTTCTTGCTGTCCCTCCCTTAAATATCTGGAAATCTAGATATTTCCTCAGTCTTCCTGACAGCTGGGATGTCTGAAAACATAATTCCAACCAAAAAGATGCTGTATTAGTTTGCTAGGACTGTCGTAACAAAATACCACAGACAGGTTGCTTAAATGACAGAAATTTATTTTCTCATAGTTCTGGAGGCTGGACGTCCAAAATCAAGGTGTCAGTAGAGTTGGTTTTATTTTGTTTTATTTTGAAGTCTCTCTCCTTAACTTGCAGAAGGCTGCCTTCTACCTGCATCCCCTCATAGTCTTTCCTCTGTGTGTGAATATCTCTGGTGTCTTGTGTACGTGTCCAAATTTCCCTCTTTTTAAAGAATACAGCTCAGATTGAATGAAGGCCCACCCAGATGACTTTATTTAACCATAATTACCTCTTTATTGCCTCTATCTTCAAATAGAGTTACATTCTGAGGTACTGGGGGTTAGGGTTTTAACCTGTTACTTTTAAGAGGACACAATTCACCTTATAACAGATGCTAAGCATAAGTCTGTGAGAGTAGCCTCCAGAAAACTAAATTCTTTTTTTGAGATGAAGTTTTGCTCTTTTTGCCCCCGCTGGAGTGCAGTGTCACAGTCTCAGCTCACTGCAACCTCTGCCTCCTGGGTTCAAGTGATTTCCTACCTCAGCCTCCCAAGTAGCTGGGATTACAGGCATGCGCCACCATGCCTGGCTAATTTTTGTATTTTTAGTAGAGACAGGGGTTTCACCATGTTGATCAGGCTGGTCTCGAACTCCTGATCTCAGGTGATCCACCCGCCTCGGCCTCCCAAAGTTCTGGGATTACAGGCCTGAGCCACCGCGCCAGGCCAGAAAACTAAATTGTTACTAAGATGGATAGACATGGTTGCTATGACCTCTCTTCTCTCTTTTCCTGATTGAATAAAGATGTGACGGATGGAGGTAGCACAGTCATCATGTGATCCTGAAATAAAGACACAGTGAGCCAAAGATATGTCAGAACTTACATCATAGAGTCCAAAATTAATATCAGTAGCCATACACCTCCAGACTTCTTGTTATATTAAATGAATAAACTGATTCATGTAAGGCTTTTGAGCACAGCATTTTATTATTTGCTGCTGGATAGAATCTCACCTAATTAATTTTTGTGTCAAGGATGTTGTGAATCTTAATTATTAAGTTTTGATTATTAGCAGAAATGAAGACATTGTTCCCCTTTAAATCAGGATCCCATCAGGAAACAGAAATCATCCCAAAGAGAATGTAATGAAAGAGTTACATATACTAGGGAGGGATAAGGGGAGAAATAGGGATGGTGAGCCACCCAGAGATGAGAAGTGGAAGAAAACAATATCACCCTAAAATCAAATGGACAAGGGAAGAAAAATGAATTATCTCACCCCAGTGGGAGCCGAACCTATTGAGAAGTGGCTGCAGGTGGAGCCTATAGACATAGAGAGTCACAGCTACAGCCAGAGGCATGGCAAGGAAACAGAAAAGGAGCAGATAAGAAAACCTATATTCTCTGGCTTCCTCCCTTTGGATTGTCTGCCTGCCTGTGCCTCCAGCGTCCAAACCAACTGGAAGATTTTGGTCAGGGAAGCCTGGTAGATGGAGTCCATCAATGTCAGACTCCCAGGGAAAGTGCAGAGGAGGGAAAGGCAGAGAATGAACCTTGGAGAAGTATAGGGGAAATGCAAAACAATCAGCACAATGTCCCAGAAAACTTTAGCCTCATTTTGACCATTTTTCATTTCCGTTACTATTTGGCATAATACAGGCCAGTAGCTCTTCTCTGATATCAAATATCCATCCTTTAACTTGAAATGCACAAACCTATAAATTAAATTTAGCTATCCTTGGGAAATAGATTTGACTAAAGGCCTATGAGTGAAGTATCTGTGATAATACAAATTGAGAAACTGCAGCTTATAATCAGTTGTCATCCATCAGAGTATTAAAATATGAATTCATAGCTGCATCCTAGGTATACCTTCGTTTTAATCCAATAATGATGCAAAACTGCTGCTTGAAAGCAATTAGAAAGGGTGAGAGTCTCAGTTTCTTTACCAGTAAAATAAATGGAACTGATCTCATCAATTGTATTACAGGGCTCTAAGAATAAGACAAAATATCAGTCAGAAAATAGATTATTTTAGACTAGAAATTACTCATCATTCTTATAATGAATATGGTAATTAAGTTAGAGTAAAGACTATATGTTGATGATAGTCAAATTTATGAAATATCTTCCATATGTAAGACAAATCCCCTCCCTCCCTCCCTCCCTCCCTCCCTTCCTGCCGTCCTTCCGTCCTTCCTTCTTCTCTCTTACCTGTTTCTTGCCTTCCTGCCTCTCTTCCTTCCTGCCTTCTAGCCTTCAACATTTTCTGGCTTTGTGTTAGTTATTGGAAATAAAAAAGAACTATGGTATTACAAGTAGAGGCACACAACTTAAGTTTAGGGCAGGAAAGTATTCTAGAAGGATGTGGAACCTGTTCTGAAATTTGAAGATCATACACAAGCTAGCTGTGGGAAGAAATAGTGGGGGAAGTATATACAAACCAAGAGAAAAGACAATGAAGGCAGGGTGTTTTTGCTTTAAAAATACTGGAAATATGTAAGTATGCAAAAAAAATACATAGAGTGGAGGATGGGGGCAATCAAGGGTGGAGGAATCTAGGCCTAGAAGGGATTTGTCTAACTCGCTAGAGTGTGAATTTGAAACTAAATGCCTAAGCGTCACTGTATGATTTGCCAAACTAGGAAACTTTGAAGATTGAGAGTTGGTGCTACTAATAATTACTCTGGGAGAAAAGGTATAAACTGAGAGTGTCCAGGCCAACCGGGATTTATATTTACTTTCAGAATTAGAGACACATTGGCTGGGCACGGTGGCTCACACCTGTAATCCCAGCACTTTGGGAGGCCAAGGTGGGTGGATCACGAAGTCAGGAGATCGAGACCATCCTGGCTAACATGGTGAAACACTGTCTCTAATAAAAATACAAAAAATTAGCCAGGTGTGGTGGGGGGCGCCTGTAGTCCCAGCAGCTCAGGAGGCTGAGGCAGGAGAATGGCATGAACCCGGGAGGTGGAGCTTGCAGTGGGCCGAGATGGTGCCACTGCACTCCAGCTGGGCGACAGAGCGAGCCTCCGTCTCAAAAAAAAAAAAAAAAAAAAGTTAGAGACCCATTACAGTATTTTAAGGAGAGATGTGGCACGATACGAATTGCCCTTTAGGGGAAACAAATTTGAATCCTATTAGAATAATCAACTGGACAGATACGGACACCCTGGGCCAAGGCAGCAGCAGCAGGGTTGGATACAAAGGACTAGATTTGTAAAATATAAAGCAAGTAGTATTAACAGGACTGGACCTGGAGAGTGAGAAAGTGTCGATATCTCCTAGGTCACTTGTGCAAGACAGTAGTCCCAAATTCTTCAATAATAAAAACAATTTTTTGATACCCACATCCATTTTAACTAGACAGATTTAAAAATTATAAAATCAGATCATTTTCTTGCTTACACTTGCTTAAAATTGCTTTTCGAATAAAACTCAACCTCTATATGGCTCAGAGGCTCTGCACCATCTGATGACTGCCTGTCAGCTAACCTTGGCACCATCCTCCCCTTGTTCACTCAGCTCCAGGCACACTAGCCTCAGTTTTGCGTCTGAAATCCTCCAAGTTCTTTCCAACTTTGGAAAGTTTTTATCTACTCTTCTTTGTGCCTGGACTCCCTCCAGGTGTTACTTCACAGACCTGGTTCATTCCTTGTCTCAGGTCTCCATCCGGCACCCACCCTATGGAGACGTCATTAATAAACGTCCATCCACAGTAAACAGCCCAGACTTTCCACCTGGCACTAGGTTTATTTCAATGAATGACTTTTATGAGTGAAAATAGAAGTGAGCAAATTTGGAATTGTTGATAAATGGATGGTGCACTATCTATTCCTCACACAGCACCCGACTAATCCTCAAAATATAAGGAATTTATCTCCAAAGTCTTCCATTTGCAATTAAAATAAAAGAAAAAAACCTCACTTTGGCCTTCATAGCCTTCCATAATCTGGCCCCGCTTCTTCTCAGACCTCATGTCCTATAATTCTTGCCATCACTCAGTCTTCTCCAGACCCTTTGACTTGCTGTTCATCAAATACTCCAAACACACTCTTACCTCAGGGATTTTGCACTTGTTCATCCTGCCTGGGATGTTCTTTGCCCACTTACTATATGGTTTACTTTCTCCCATCATGCAGGTCTCTGTGCAAATGCCATTCTCTCCAGGAGGCTTTTCTAGACCAGGCTATTCATACTTACTCCTAACCAGACTTTATTATTTTACAGCACTTACCATCTGATGTTGTATAGATATGTGTTTATTATCCCCTAAAGGGTTGTAAACTCTATTAATGAGGGAAAGTTGTCTGTCTTGTTTCTTGTTCATTACTCAGTGATTATAACACTGGATGGCACATAGTAGGTGACTAATGAATATTTGTTGAACAAATAAGCAAACAAATAGGCTGACCCATGGATTCTCCATACATAGTCTTCCTAGGCTAGCCTTCGATCGGAAGAAGTTTCAAATTTATGTAAAGGGTTTTATAGCTAGATTCACTAGCCTTCCTTCAGACAGGTGACTTAGTCGTATCAGTCCTGTTTAAAGAAAATCAAGCGAGTCTCTGAGAGTGAACTTACTTATTGAAGGTCACATATCTTGTTATTGTCAGAGCCGGTAAGAAACCTCGGTTTTGGCCTGGGCATGGTGGCTCACACCTGTAATCCCAACACGTTGGGAAGCCAAGGTGGGTGAATCACTAGAGGCCAGGAGTTAGAGACCAGTTGGGCCAACATGGTAAAACCCTGCCTCTACGAAAAATACAAAAATTAGCTGGGTGTGGTGGTACATGCCTGTAATCCCAGCTACTTGAGAGGCTGAGACACAAAAATAGTTTGAACCTGAGAGGTGGAGGTTGCAGTGAACCAAGATCATGCTACTGTACTCCAGCCTGGGCAACAGAGTAAGATTCTGTCTCAGAAAAAAAAAAAAGAAAAGAAAGAAAGAAAAAGAAATAAAAGAAATTTCAGTTTCCTGTATTTTTGCAGAAAAAAAACCACACTCTCATTATAGTGCATTGTCTATATGCAAATCTGTGTTAAGTGCTTTATTCAGTTAAACCATGCTGTGGATAATTATGTAGCTAAGAGAGGTAATTAGCCCAAGCTCACACAGCTAGTAAGTGACAGAGTTGGAATTTGGTAGCAGTGTCTACTGGCTTCTCAGCCTTGTGATGTACAAGGTAGCATCTATTGTAATGGGTACTTGGCCCCAAAAATACTTGGTACTATTATCCGTCTTAGTGACAGCTTCTGAGTCCGATTTTTGAAATCTAGCATAAAGTTAATATATAATCCCCAAAATGTAGTGATGAAATAATGATCATGTGAGGGAAGTGGTGAGTGTTGGATTCTACAAGAAAGGAAGATCAGAATAGCTTCCTGAAGTGCATATGCATTTTCTTATTCAAATCCTATAAATACTCTAATAATCAGGCTATTATATTAATAAACCTTAAATAATTGGTTCATTTATTCAACAAATGTTTACTGTGCATTTCAGGTGCATGTCATAGTTTTACGCAAATGTGAGAAGCACAGAGGAATCTAGACAATCTTTTTTCTCTAGGAGTTTCTGATCTAATTGGGAAGACAGACCATACACAGGCCAAATTTAAATATGCATTTGTGATAACAAAGAGGAGACTTCCAAGAATACATATGAATACCCATTGCAAGTATCCATTGCAACAGGTGCTCACTTGGACTTCACAAGGCTGAGAAGCTGGTAGACCTGTTACTAAAAAACTTACTAGATGTGTGAACTTGGGCTAGTTACTTTACCTCTCTTAGCTACATCCATTTACATTTTAATTAAATGGATTTGGTTAAATTCATTTACATTTTTTTCTATACTAAGCCTTCTTATAGAACATCACCTAGGTACCACCTGGACTGATTTGAAACTTATATTTGCTCCACTCTTTAGCTTATCTGTTAGGTGGCCACATGCATGGGACAATTAATGAACAAAAACAAAGTAAGGAAAAGGTTGAATAACCGGTAAGCCATTTTTTTCATTTATTCAAATACCTACGGATTGTCAGGACCAAACTGTATGTTGAGAATACAGGGAAGATAAAACAGACATTGTCCTTGCCATGAAGGAATCACAGTCAAGTAGAGGATAGAGTCATAAACTCTAGTGCTCCCAACTCTTATACGTGTTGATATAAAAATCAGAAAGGGGGATGGAAGTGCAATAAAACACGTGACTGTGCTGGCTTCAAACTGTTGGAGTTTGTAACTTAGCACTACCACTTACAACCTATGTGGTGCTGAGCACACTTCTTGTATAGATGAATTTCAGTTTTTTCATCTGTAAAATGGTAACAATAGTTCCTGCTTCCTAGGGTTATTTTAACTATTCATTGAATTAAATTGTGCAAAGCTCTTGGCAATAAAATATTCTCATTAGATATTCTTCTTGCAGATTTCTGAAATGTTTTTCTACAAGATGTTGTCTCTGTCTGAGATGACTCTAGGAAGAGTAAGGAACATCATGAAAGGGAAGTCATCATGAAAGAGATGCTCAGGGAAATATAAGCATTTTGATAGCCTACACCTCTGATCCTCTGCTTAAATGTGGTGGTGTTACTTGGGAGAGAGATGAGGTTGGAAGACAGACAAGGCCAGATAACGCACAGGCCTGTATGACACACAAAGAGATTTGGACTTGATCCAAAATATAGTATAGAAAAGGAGAAGTTTAATCAGAGAAGTCACATGGTCAAATTAGACTTGGACAGTAGTGCAGAAATACATCAGACCAGGGAGAAACTAGCAGCCAGAAAGGCAGTTAAAAAATAGTTGTAATAGTTTAGTTAATAGATGGTAATGCCCTGAAGGCTCTAGCCCTGGAAGTAGAAAGAAAGGTGTGATACTAAGAGATTTTAGAAGGTAAAATAAGTAGGATTTAGTGATTTATTGAGTTTTTGGAATGATTAAGGAGAAAAAGTCTAGGGTGAATCCCCAAAATATCTACAAAATAAAAAAATTATTCGTCCAGATAAGTTAAATGATGGTTATTCCAATTATTGCTGCAATTTGTTTCCACCGTACTTACCTCTTGGGTGAATAACAGTTTTTCTCACTGATCAAGCACTTACCTGATTGAACATAGGCAAGCATATTATTGATTCATAAAAGGCCATAATTAATTCTGTGTGTAACTCTTCATGAAAACTAGTGCTTTTGCTACAAAAATGAAACAAAATCATCAATTATTATAATACAGAAAGAGCTTTAAGAGAGATCTGTGTATTTAGAAGAGATCTGTGCCTCAAGAATGAGCTTCAAGTTTATTTCTAATTCTAGAGTTTCAAAGCTCTGCAGGCTGTTCAGGAGTGGATTTCATTCCCAGTACAACCAGCATTCTGGAATTTAATCAGACAATTTTATTAATTCTATATAGGAAAGGTTTCTCCTCTATGGTGACAGTTGTTATATGCATTTTGATATGGACTACCAAAAAAAAAAACCAACATATAGTGTTTTCAGCTTTTTATTGCTTTGAAAACCTTAACTTCGTTCTGGGAAAGCCTAAAATAATAAAAGGGAAGTGGTATTTTGTAATTATGGATTGGGGAATTTTAAATCTACTGAGCTAGTCTTCTTCCACTCCTCCATGTTCCACTGTTTAGAAGTCTTCTCATATACCGCATTTACTCATCTAAGGAGACAATTATTTAGAGCCAGTGAGCATTTCTTTGTGGATTAGGAATGAAGAGTAAGTTGTCTCACTTTATTAGGCGTTGCAAAATAGGATGAGATGTTATTTTTTTCAAAGTCCATTTTAATTTTTCTTCTCTTTGCTAAATATGATTTACATGGCTTAAGCTTCTTTATACATATGACTATTGGATGTTAAGTGAAGGCATGTATTATTATTATTATTTTAAATACAAGCCTTTATTCACATAGATCAGCTTTGTAGCTTTTGTAAATTTAAAAACAAAAAGGATAAATAAGGCACCATACTTTTAAAAACGAAAACTGCTTGGCTCCAAGTTTAAAACCCAAGGAACAACCAGAATATAGCATATAATTTTCCCTTAGCCTCAGAGAAGGACTCTGCAAGTTCCCTTTTCCATCTGAGATACATTTTCTGACATCTCAAATTACAGTGTTCCCCATTAACTGTAAACTTGAAGGGGTTGATAAGCTTAGAAAAGCAGATTTAGTTAATGCAAAATAAAAGTTGACTTCTATAGAACAGTTTTACGCTTGGCTCCCATCTTTCCAATCATTTTGCATCCAGCTGCCTCCATTTGCTGTGCGAAGGGTCCAGTTTTGGAAGGCATGTATTATTTAAACAGCATATTGTGTGCCAAGATACCAGTGCTGACCAGATGCATCTGGAATTTCCCTGATACTAGTTAACAATTACCAAATGTTAAAATTATCACAAGAAAAATAATGCTGATATCTGACAGTGCCATAGAAAGAAACAGCAAAACCTTTTTCAGTCTCTTTAGAGCAACCTAACTACATATTATGAGATATGATTTGTTATGTTGCAATAAGGCTGAATCAAGAGATGATTAATGAAGAATTTATGAAATATTCAAGGGTTTATGATACATACATTTTGGGTAAAATGTTTACTTCTTTGAGCAGAGCTTAAGCTTTCACAATTTCTATTCCATTTCCTACCGCAAAGGAACAATTTAAGGGAAATACTCCAAAATATTAATCCTGAAGTTTTATATATTTAAGAAGCTTAAAATTTTAGAGTTTGGATTTGAATCAATGTTTTCAGTCTACATTTCAATCTTCTGCTACAAGAATAACCATAAACAGTCATTAGTGTATGTGATTATTATTATGTATTATTTACATATTATGTATCTCATGGCTAGATTGTTCTTCATTTGACTAAAGTGATAAAAATTCCATCAAGGCCAAGCACCCATTTTTTTGTGTGTTATATGCTTCTTTGGTGGATCATTAAATTCTTTGACTCATAAGCAAACTTCAGCAGGCTACTGAGTTGCTTCATGTGTTTTTGCTTTGGGATTCTAGTCCTCTACAGATGCCAATACAGCTCACTCATAAGGGTACCCAAAGCACAACTTTTGGTCTGCAAAATGCTCTGAGATTGCAAGAGAAAGAAGATCATTACAAATAATAACTCAGAAGGAAAATAACACACTAAAATGAACAAAGAATAAGAGCTTATAGGTGTATGTGAGATAAAGCCTTCCTAAATAGAAAAACTACATTGTAAATTATATAATAACCTCCAGTGTTGTGGTGTAGGTGAAAATTATTTCTTAATACAACTAGTTTTTGCTAAGACTCTCCATCATGTAATAAATAATGAACAACCATTTTGATTCTTATTTATGGTTATATGAGATAGGGAAGGGATGAATAGAAATTGCTTCAGCTCATAATGGTTTACAACTATTAAATTTTTTATTTTGGACTGTAACTTTCACCTAGAGAAAATATAAGGAAGGGCATCATGACATGGCTAAAGGTACAGTTATTTTAAAATAGCAGTCCCAAGGTGTAAAAGCACAGTTACTTTATCACGAGAGAATATGTATGACAGACATTACCTCATCTCTGAACTTTGCCCAGTTCCTTGTTCTTTTTCTCAATTGTGGTCACTCTTAAACTCTGGGGATGAAGGAAAACCTATGGTGAGGTTGAGGGATGAAAACGTTGTCTGTATTGTACACCCTCTAATAATTATGAAAATATAAAACTGTTACTGTTTATAGACTTCTTAGAACCATATTTGGCAGAACTTTAATACAATACGTAGATGGGTGAGAAGATTTTCTAAGCACATGACTACAAAAATAAAGTAGAGAAGTAAATTAATCAATGTGACTTCATAAAAAATTTTTAAATTACCCCAAATTTAGAAATAAGCTCCAAAACTTCAATACCAAAAAACCTATCTGAAGGGCAACTTCGCCAGGAAAAATAGTCACAAATTAAAAGTTGATGTTTTTAATAAATCAAGGGCTATCATGTATCAGTAAAAATACAGAATGCAGAATAAATAATAGTGATAAGTCATCACTGTTATATGCCCTTTAGACTGGCAAACATTGGAATGCTGGCTAATGCCAAGTGTTGGAATAGAAGTGAGGATGTAGGAAGACTTAGGCACTGGTAGTGAAAACTTTGATTGCCGAAGACATTCTTTGGAGAAACCTGGCAGTATTGAGTGCAATTCTCTCTCTATATATATACCCTACAATCCAGCAATTTCAGTCCTGGATAAATATCACAAACTAATACACAGATCTATAAAGGGACAAGTTCAAGATGTTCATGGCAATGTCACTGGGATAGGTAGAAGAGGAAGCAGGCTAAAGAAGTGGGTAACATGGAGGGTACAAATCACTGGGTTGTAGCCAGCAGTGAGAAGCAGTAGACTTGGTGGACACAAAAGAACATGGATAGATCTTTTTTTTTTTTTTCCTTTTTTTGAGATGGAATCTTACCCTGTCAGCCAGGCTGGAGTGCAGTGGCTCGATCTTGGCTCACTAAAACCTCCACCTCCCAGGTTCAAGTGTTCTCCCATCTCAGCCTCCTGAGGAGCTGGGATCACAGGCACATGCCGTCACACCCAGCTAATTTTTGTATTTTTAGTAGAGATGGGGTTTCACCATGTTGGTCAGGCTGGTCTCAAACTCCTGACCTCAAACGATCCGCCCATCTCGGCCTCCCAAAGTGCTGGGATTACAGGCGTGAGCCACTGCATCTGGCCAGATAGATCTTAAAAGGAGAGACTTGGGTTGAATGTACATGTGTACATATATATCTATATTGTGTGTGTGTGTGTGTGTGTGTCTGTATACATATACACAATGCTGGGGCCTTGTGCAACCACTGATGACATTGTGTCTCCAGCTGAAAAATACGATTAGCTCAAACTTCTGCAACTTGAAGTCTGGAAAAAAACTACAAATAATGAGGAAGAGGAGACTAGGCTAGATGACAGCATGAGAGAAATCTCTGGAGGGATGGAAATATTCTGTATCTTGTTTTGTGTAATGGTTACACAGTGTATACCTTTGTCAAAAGACAACAAACTGAAGACCTAAGATCTGTGGTATTGTAGTCTGTTAATGAGATGTCAATGAAAATATATACACATTTGTATATATACATACATGTAATAAATGTAATAGAAGGGAACTTATAATACTATATTATAGATACATATATCACAAAACTATAACAACATTTTAACAAAATATATAAATATGTATTAAAATATATAAAAAGTTATATTAAACAAAATATATAAAAATGTATTAAACATATTAAAATGGTTGCTGAGGAGGGAATGGATAGAAATGGGAACAAGGATATAAGGGGTTAAATAAATTACAATGCTGGGGACGTGTGTAATCACTGATGACACTATGTCTCCAACTGACGAATATGATTAGCTCAATCTTCTGCAACCTGAGGTCTGGAAAAAAACTACAAATAAAATAGAAAATGTGACATGACAGCTAATGAGAGAAATGAGAAATACACATGGTTACTAAAAAATATAAAGAGACCTCAAAGTTCACCAGAGTCTGCTAACAGAGACAGATATATACCAGTTCACCACACAACAAGCCTGTAATATAAGGTTCTCACCTGAGACAGTTGCTGTCATACTTAGCACAAAAAGGCATGTGGAAAACACAGCTGGTTTTCCAACTCAACCACAACTCTCAATCCCCTGCTCATTTATTTGATACCCGTAACAGAGGTTGAAAAATACCATGTACTTACACTTCCAACCTTTCGTGCAGTTAGAGCTGCCAGTTCAAACTATTTTTGACCAACAGGATGTAAAGAAAATTTTGGACGAGTCTTTGTTTTCTTGACAAAATTCAAGTGAAACCTCTTGCTTTATGCTTTTCTTCTTTTCCTGCTTTGATGGTAGGTGTGATTGCTGGAACTGTGATACTATTTTATCACTATGAGGCAAAACATATAGAAAAGAAAAGCTAAAACCTGATGGTAGGAAAGCGTAACACACAAAAGAGCCTGAAACCTGTGATGACATCATTGAGTTACTGCACCAGTACTAGCAACAGTCTACTGCCAGTCTTCTTCTTATCTGAAGGAACCAAATCCCTATTTATTTAAATCATATATAGTATGTTATTCTGCTACTTCCCAACAGAATCAAAACAATAGATTTAGAAATGTCTGGCCTATGGAATATTGTGGGACAGGTGACCCTCCAATCAAAAGAAATGTCAGAAATGGACTGAAGTGTCAGAAATGCCAGAATAGCCCATGATATTCTGGGAAGTGAGCACATATGCTACCTCAAGTGTTCCTGTTTTTTTTTTTTTATCGATAGCTGGTATGAATAGAACTGCCTCTATTAAAAGATGGTTATACTTAACATAGGAAGTATGGATAGATATTAGAAAAAAGAAAGGAAACATAAATGAAGGACAAATGAAAATTTACATGGAAAGAAGAATTTCTTTGGGAAGCTGGAAATTTTTGACAAAAAGTCTCCTTGCTTTGAAATAAATTAAGGAAAGCAAAGATTTGTGACAAAATTTCAGAAGAGATACAAAGAGAGCAAAAAGCAGTTAACACATCAGAACACAAGCAGTAGATAGAAATAAGCTGGTGGAACTCAAAAGAAATGCAGCAAAAGAGTAGAATTATAATCAACATGAAAGATTGTTTAGAGGCAGCCCAAAGCAGAACTCATGGAGGACAAATACCAATCGTGAATATAGGAGATTGGTTTGAAAAACAGTCATTCAAAATAAAATACAAACAATGAAAAATATCAAAGTAATTAGACTCTGAAAATAGAAAATGGGAAGTGGTTGTCTGGGTGGAAGGGGAGACTTGGCTAGATGAGAGCAGGAGGGAAATCGCTGGACTGATGGAAACATTCTGTATCTGGTTTTGTGTGATGGTTACATAGTGTCTACATTTGCCAAAGTCAACAAAGTGAAGATGTAAGATCTGTGCATTTTGCAGTATGTTAATTAGATGTCAACAAAAAATATGCAAAAGTGATTAGAGAAAATAGTAGATATGAATCGCAGAAAAAGGCGATCTGAAACATTCAACAATTTATTTGTTGAATTTCTTTTATTTGTTGAGTTTATTAAATTTATTTTAGACAAAGTGTTCAACAATCCATAGGAACAAGAATTTCCCATAATAAAAAATCAGAATCTGCACAGGAAAAGAATACACTATGTTCTAGGGACAATGAGCCCCAAATTATTAAGATGCAGATATAGCCTGCTGAATGTATTTAATAAGGACAATGGAAAAGTCCTATGACTTTAAAAAAAACCATGTATCTTGAAAATTGCACACACAATTTCTCAAAAAATAAACCTAGATTCAAAAAAACAACTAAAACCCAAACTGAAGAAAACCTAAAAAAATTACTTTAAAAACATACCGTATATTAATACATATGAGGTATTGCTAAAACGGGGTTGAGAGAAAATCTTTTCCCCTTCAACATCTTACTAAGGGCAGAAACATGTAAAACATCTTCAACTCAAAGAGAAAATTATGTAAATAAGTAAATTGATAGATAAACATGCAAAGCCAAGAAAAGCAAAAGAAACCAATAAAGTTAAAATCAGGAATTATTGAATTGGAAAATCAACTAACCAGCCAACAAATGAAAGTCTTTAGCAGAACCAATACACACATTCAGAAACTTACCATTAAAAACAGTACAACAAAATACATAAATCATTAAGTACTCTAACCAAGGATAAAAACATACTGATTAAAAATAGGGATGAAAATGGGAAAATAATTACAGATATACAAGAAATGTATAAAAAGTTTTTTGAGACTTAACCATTGTTTGTCGAGTTATTGCAAATGGATGTTTTATAAGAAGCAAGTTCTTCCTGCGCCCTGGTTTATTTGACCAGTCTGGGGATTTTTGTTGTAATAGAAGAGTTCAAACTATTTTTTATCATTATCACCAATAATTGATAACATATATTGAACATCTATTTTGTGCCAGGTATCCTGCTACACTCTTCTCATACATCATAATATTTAATTTCCAAAACCTCACTATGAAGCTGTTATTAGTTATATTTCATTGATTCTGAGACACCCAACTTTCTCACATTTTACTGTCATTAAGATTGTGATAGGTCTCACAATGAATGGCATCATGCAATTATCAGATATTTTTCCTTTTTATAATATATAAAAATGGTGCCACTTATAATCAATGACATACATCTTAGATTAAATGAAAAAGATAGTAACCATTTTATAAGTGAAGAGACAGAGCTAACAAGGTTTAACAACACACACAAGGTCACACTGAAGGGGTGTCAGCACAAGTCAGCCTCACACCGAATCCCTTCATAAGGGAAACACTTTGTCCTTCATTATCTCATTGTAATGACAATCACAATCTATGCTTTCTTGCTGTATCATTCATCTTCTACATTTTGTTCTATTTATTGTGATTCTTTTACTTATATTCTCTGCATCAGTTTGGAAGTGACTCATTACATGTCAACAGGAATCAACAATAAATGTGTAATGCACATTTATTATGCACCAGGTTTTGTGTTTAAAAGTACATAGAAAATAAATGCTTAATTCTCCCTGTTGAAAATAATAAGGGAAGAGACTTCCTTCCCTTTGCTTAGAGTATTTATTTACTTTAGAAAACTTACAAGTTGTTTCTCTGTCTCTTTGTAAGTCGTTAAAAGCTAAATTAGCCTCTTGTCTGCTGTATGGTCCAGGAATTCCTTCTCGAGGACCTGGGAACTATTTCTTTGAAATGCAATCATTAAGGAAGACAGCATCCCTATCTACCAGTTTCAGTGGGAGGGGAGAAGCTTATCTTTGGTAGATGCCTTGCTCTAAGTGGCAAAACTGCCTCCTGTGATAAAGATATTAGAAATTTATTTTTCCTTTGGATAAAGTCAATTAGCTAACAAGATGGTCACCCAATTACCAAATGAATTTAGAATGAATTCTGTGTGACAAACTGTGCCATCATGTCCTCTTACATGAGGACTAGTTATAGTTTGTCTTGAGAGCATGTATGTAATGATTTGTTTCTGCTTGGTAAGATTTCTTTCTGCTTTTGTAATCTCTTAGCAAAATGCATGTGATGTGCATTGAATTCTAATTTAATGCTTATGCAATAAAAATAGCTTTCTGTTTCTTCCACTTTTGTGAACATTTCTGGGTTAGGAGGAGATTTTGTTTATAATTACATTTTCAAACTGTAAGGACTAAAAGTTAACTAGTAAAGAGTTAAATAATTGTTCGGAATGATTTGATTATGCAAATTTATTCCATCACGATGGTCACATCAATTCGTGCTTATATACATGATTTTATGCTTCCATAAGTATGTCTAATATTACCCCTTTCCCCTGTAACTAAGCATTTAAAAACCAGACAGCTGCTGCTTTGTTGAAGAAAAGGTGGTGAGTTGATCCATGGGGCACACAGTTGGCATTGATGTTTGCTGAATTAATATGCCACGTGCACCAGCTGTCATGTCATTGCCAAGATTGTAAGTTTGAAATGATCTAAGAATTCTGCATTCAGGCTGTTGAAAAGCCTGGCACCATGATGGATGCCTGAGGAATGAGCTCTACCTTCCACCAATATCACACGTCATGCTTTTTCTTTATAGTTCCAGTAGTTGAAAGTTTATTAATATTTTATTTTTGTCAATTTTAGAAAAGAGCTCAATTTGCAACTAAAATATCTGGGAGAGGGAGGGTTACAGGGCAAGACACTTAAAGAGAAATCATACACAGAAATGAGTTCTGGGTTGTGTGACCCTGTATTCAATCAGGATGCAGAAGTCTTGCTGCGCTGCACAAAACTTTCTCTGGTCCACTTTAGATAAAAAAGAGACAAACAATCACATCATTTAGTTCTCATATTTTGTTAATATTTGCAAAGCCCAATTTTAAGGTTTATTGGAAACTATATTGAGCTTGCTTCTTTCTCTGTTCTTGATTGCATAGCTGTTATTTTTTCCACTTTGCCTTTGGTGACTTTGATTATTAATAACCACAACACATAAACCAACTGCATGAGTAACCATGTGCCTTTTCCCCTCTTTAGTTAAAATGTGATTGAGATAATTATTGGTTGGGGTCTAAAGAGTGGAAAAGATATAATGTAAAAATTAGTGTTTTTAGTACGGTATGTAATAATTTGGACAACAGGAAATGCCATTTGCTGTTTTATGTAATTGAACCATGAGGGCTGGCCAGAGCCCTGACTGCAAGACAGGCAGAGGCCTCAGCAGCTCAACTGGTATGAGTTTAAGTGGAACTGGTCCAGCTGTGGGGCCTGGCTCCTTTAAGTGATGCTGAGTGGTCTAAATTAATTTCTGAGTAGAGACTGAGTGAACTTGAGGGGAATTTTTGGAGGGAGAAATTATAGGCTTTAGTACATGGTTGAAATGAGAGATGCACAAATGGGTAGAATCAAGAGTAATTCCATGGTATTTCCCTTGGGTATCTAGCTGAATGTTGCACTGTTAACTAAGGTGCTGTCAACACAGGAGAAAAATAGGTTTAAATGAGGGAGATACTAAGATTGTAGCTGGACAGTTTATTTTTCTTCTTAAAGACAAAATAAAAGCCTAAGGAGTATTTGGAGGGGTAGATACATTTAGGTGGTAGGTATAGTACCTACTTAGGCCGTGTTAAGGCTTATATCACATGGATTAGGAGAAGAATGCACCCCTCTCCCAGTTGCTCAGACCCAAACTTAAAATCATTTATGTCTCCTCTCTTTCTCTTCCAATTCACATCCAATCCAGTAGCAAATATGTCAGCTCCTTATATATCCAGAAATGAAACTTTGCTGCAACCACCCTGGTCTAAGCATCAATTCTTGTCTGGATACTAGCCTCATCCTTCCCCTAGTAGCCAGGAAAGTTTATTTCCACACAACAGACAGATGGATATTTTAAAAATGTAAGACTGTTTAAAATAGTTTCTCATGTCACTCAAAAGTAAAAGCCATAGTCCTTTTCCACATGGTCCTATGCGGAACCATAGGCTGTCATTCTGGCCCTTATTTTTATTTGCGACTACTCATTGCACTCCAGTCACATTGGCTCCCATAACAAACTCCATTAACAAACTGGGGGCCTTTGTACTTCTCACTCACTTTCCCTGGAATGCCCTTCCACAGATATTTTATGTTATTTCTCTTGTTTCATTCAAGTCTTTGCTCAATTATCACCTGCACAGATCTTCTCTGATCATTCTATCCAAATAGTACATGAGTCATGCTGTCATGCTCTATCCCCTTACTTGATTTATTGCTTATAGCCCTTACATTGTCATTATTTTGTTTTTGTTTTACTTGTTTATGTATTGTATTTATTCATTATCTACCTGTCTGTCTGTCTATCTATCTACTATCATCTGTCTATGTATGTATGTTTATTGTCTGCTTTCCTCTAACAGAAAGTAAACTGTGCAAGGATGGGAACTTCTTTTGTGCTCACCACTGTTTTACCAATGCCTAAAACATAGCCTGACACATAGATGCTCTATAAATACTGGATGAATCAATCAGTCAATTCACTCATTTAATAAATGTGCCAGCAATGACGGCAGATAATGGATTCCCATTCATTCAAAAGGTGAAAATATATAATATACATCACAGTTTAATGGAAAGAACAAGAAATATGAATTCAAGAATATTTAATTGATTTGGGAAAGTTAAGCTTTATTAATCCTTGCTTATCATCTATAAAATGAGGATTAAAATGATAATGCCTCATAGATTTAACACAGAAATGAGCACTCATGTATATAAAATGTTCAGCATGTTTTTGGCATCCATTTAGTTACTCAAGCGATTGTAGCTATTATCATTCGAGATATTGTCACGGCCCTGAAGGAGTTCACATTCTTGAAAAGACCAAACATATAAGTAGGATTACAACACAGTGTTAAAGGAATTTTGATAGAAAAGAGCACATGATATAGGTGATATTCAAATACTTGATAGCTGGTAGAGTCAGGACACTGATCAATCAGAAGGGAAATTGGCTTTAAAATCCAGTCAGTGGTTATTCTGGTACACACTGTTCAATTATAAATACTGGGAATGAGCCACAGATGAGAGATACTCTACTCTTCTAGAAAAAAATACAGATGCGCTATCAATTCAGATAATCCTCCCATTGGCCCCAGTAACTCAGGAACTATTGGCCTGATATTGAGCACTGGCCTTAAACTTATGCCTGATTCCTTCTCACTACTAATTTGGTTTGGAATGAAATATTCCAGAATAGGCCAATGGGTGTTTATCCTGTTCCCTGAGTTAACCCCTGTGACGTCCTCTTGGTCTGATTTCAATATCCAATTGAACCAACCCTCAAAAGAAATTGCTCCAACTTTTGGCTTTTGGCATCACACCTTACTATTATTCCCCACATGGAGTCTGTGTATACTGTCTCTCTCTTTATGTCCATACAGGTGTCATCTTTTTTTTTTTTCTCCCTGGAGAATGACACAGTCCCTGGGACTTGGAATCTGTAGATAAACCAGCCTGAGTTTGCCTGCCTCCTTACCCAGACTTTGGAATATTTCCCATGTGTATTAGCATTCTCTAAAGGGACAGAACTAATAAGATATATGTATATATGAAGGGAAGTTAATTAGAATTGACTCACACAATCACAAGGTGAAGTCCCATGATAGGCCGTCTGCAAGCTGAGGAGCAAGGAAGCCAGTCCAAGTCCCAAAACCTCAAAAGTAGGGAAGCTGACAGTGCAGCCTTCAGTCTGTGGCTGAAGGCCCTGGCAAATCGCTGATGTAAGTCCAAGAATCCAAATTTGAAGAACTTGGAGTCTGTTGTTCGAGGGCAGAAAGCATCTAGCATAGGAGAGAGATGGAGGCTGGAAGACTCAGCAAGTCTACTCTTTCCAACTTCTGCTTGCTTTATTCTAGCCGTGCTGGCAGCTGATTAGATGGTACCCACCCAGACTGAGGGTGGGTCTGCCTCCCCAGTCCACTGACTCAAATTTTAATCTCTTTTGGCAACACCCTCACAGACACACCCAGGAAAAATACTTTGCATCCTTCAATCCTATCAAGTTAACACTTAATATTAACCATCACACCCTCCACCCATCTCCTCTTCTCCTTTTGCTAGCCTTGGTCATCCCACAGGACATTCCATTCAAACCAGCCCTGAGAGGTGGGAAGAGAGTGAATCCGTGGTTGGGAAGGGCAGTCTCAGACAGTAACTAAACTGGTACAAGCACTTGGGAAAGGGTTAGGGAGAGAGGAATGCATATGGGAACAGTAGAAAATGATTTTTTTAAAAAGAAATTATTAGTAACTATGTCACAAATACAGTATTATGTTATACAGGTAATTCCAAAGTGTGAGTATGTGTGTGTATACCTATGTATTTCAATTAAATTAATTTGACTATAACAATTCAACCCAAGCCAACAAAGTTATTTATTATAACTGTAGTCTGTATATGAATGTAAGGGATAATATTTACAATCCTTTTAGTATCAAACCAAGCCTGTGCCTTTTACACATCTACGCTGTCCTGATGCCAGCTAGCCAGTACCCAAATATAAAGAGCTCTGAACAGTAAAACCCTGTTTAGAATTAAAATTCTTCTCCTTTGATCAATGTTTGGACTTCTTAGCTGGCTCCTGTGTTCACCAAGATGCTGAACTCTTGCCTTGCTTACAGCTAGGATCCTAATGCTTACTCTTCAGAACTAAGTGATGACATATACATATTGGCTTGGCTTTTGAACCCTGAATATCCTTCTTAGATGTGGCATCTGGTTCCTCAGAGTATCTGACGCTCCTTACCCAGGTGCCCCTAAAGATAATTTGTAATGAGGATTCTGTATGAATTGAATTATTCTAAATTGCTATAAGGTTTACTCCTAAGTATCTTCACCATTATTCTACAAATACTCCAAACTTTTTTTATAGTATCCGCATATTATACCTGGAAATATCGATTATGGAAAGCAAAAGAAAATGTATTCTGGGTCCACATAGAATTAATGAGGTTTTCTGATATACATTTTAGTCTCTTAATAAATACTCAATATTTATTCATCATTGACAACAAGATCTTCATAGATAATGCAGGCAAAGGAAAGTCTCGAATAAAAAATAGTTCTAAAATAAAAATTAGAGGTCAGAGAAACCAAAGGTCAAAATCTAAGAGGTATATGTTATTAAAGAGTCATGTTCCAATTTTCACACTGTAAAAGTAGTAAAAAGTAAAATCAAAAGGAATGATCCAGCATATTGGATTACTTGTTCATAGAAATAATGGCAAGAGAAAGGGGATTAGGACAGTTCAAGGGGTCTGTGAAGGGGCCAGAGAATGAACAAGAAATATTTCCTGTTCTTTTCAAGGCAAAGGCACTATTAACTTGACAAATGGCTAGTTCATGGTTGTGCTGTTGATCACATATATTTATAGTGTCAGAAAGAAGTGGTGTGACAATGAGAAATAGGGTAGTTTGAAACTGTGGTTAGCAAAACAAAGGCAGAAAAATAAATGAAAAATTGTCTAAAAGTTTCCAAGATAATGGGGAATAAAGAATCCATGGCCATTTGCCATCACCTAAAGCTCCCTAGCATTTGGCTATCAAAATCAATAGAGTTAAATTTATCTAAGAATACTACCAGCACCCAAAGTTGATAATTTCAAAGGGAAACATCTAAGAGCTTAAATTCATTGAAAAGATTATGCCAAGAGCTTTTGATGAATACTTCCCCAGTCTTAAAACATATTTCCCTAAGCTAGAGTTTGGAGGGATAAGATAAAAGGCAAAGTGAACTGGGGGATCCTAGAAATAGCAAAACTGACAGTGTTAGGAGTATGGCAAGATCTGAGACAGAAATGACTGCAGACACAGAGGCAGATAAACTATACATAGCCTTGAAGAAAAATGTTCCATGTCCTTAGCATGAAACTAAAGTAGCAAAGGAAGTGCAGAGGGTTCCTAGATATGGTTTTGAGTACCCATGGGGTGCATGGGTAGCTGAGTCCTCCACGGCAGAGCAGTCATCCTTCCCTGTACATATGCCTGGGGTCTATGATGCTGTCTATATGGTCTGTCAATTTTTGATGTAGACTTGTATTCATCAGCAGTTTGAAGACCTAGAGAACTTCCAGCAAGGACTTTATCCTTCATTACACCCTAAGACATTGCCCAGTCCCCATCTGACTTAAGCAGTGTAGATACTCGTCAACCATATGTACACTGTCCAGTGATGCCCACAAACTTAGGAAGCAATGTAGGCTCTCATGGATGAAGGAGAGGGAAGTACTTGCTTTGGGGGTAAGGTTGAATATGCATTCTAGTGACATTTTTATTGAATCTAAAATGGCGCTCCATAAATGATGTGTTGATTGTTATCATCATTATTATTTTATTTAATGCATTCTGTTTGTCATTTTGGGAAAAATAATTTTTAAAATAACTCCTGAAGGTATTGAAGTAGAGAAATACATAAACCAACTGAATTCATAGTCAAGGCTCTGATGCTCAATGACCAGTCTTCCTCACAATGCCATGTCAAAATAGGACTTGTCTCTGGCTGGGCTGGCTTTTAGCATGTTATGGATCTAATAGGCAAAAAATTATTTTTCTAGGCTTGATTAATATTTACATTACACTTCTGGGAAACATTTTGCACTTCACTTGTTACAACTTATTTTATCTATATGTTTTATTCTTTTTTATCTTTATGAATATAATAATGATCTAACTGCCATACCTGTCTCTCTATGTTCCCTAAGGTTGGTTGAAATGATGTGTTCGGCTAGCAGTTGTCCACTGTGTCCTTTAATGGTCAAACCTTTCTTTCTAAAGCTGCACTACTGACTGAAGGGATAACCTTTTTTATTCATTCAACTAATGTTTATTATAACCCTGGCCTCATGGAACTTAAGAGTCTGTTGGAGGGGATAGACAGCTGAATTAGTCAAACTGATTATTATGCAATTAAATACCTATGTGAACTAATGTTAAATTTTTGAAAACTTAACAAACTATATGAAGGGAGATTCCCAAGACTATAGTAATGCATAATGGAGGGCGCTCCATCCATCTCACTCCATCCAGGGGTGAGATGGTCTTCATTAAAAGCTTTTTTGAGGAAGAGTTATTTGTACTGAGATTAAAAGGATAAACATGAGTTTAATAAACCAGGGGAGGGGAGGGGAGGAATGGGGATTGAGAAGACCATTTGACCATTTGAGGACAAATATTTTGCTAGATTGCAGTTTGATTTCCCAGCAGTGAAAACGGGGGTTTTATATTGCTGATTTTCATTAATTAATTCAGCATGGATTTATTGAACACTTATTGCAGGCCAGAGGCTTTACAATATACGGGGAATACAATGATGAGAAAATAGCTATTCCCTTGGTTGTTTATTTATGCAATCACTTATTTGTTTAGCTTGCAGTCTAGTTAGGACAGACTAATTAAATGATAACAAAATAAAGTATAAAATTTCAAATGCAACAGTGCTATAATAGATACAAGATACATTTGTAATATATAATAGGAGTAAATCTTCTCTGAATTGATATTCTTAAACTAGTAGTTGAAGGATCTGTAGGTATTAACTAGGAGAAGAGGAGAAGAAGTTAATTTTAAGACAAAATAATAGAAGGTCAGTGTTAGGGAAGAGAGTACCAGAGAAAGTATGGTATAAAGTGAAAATGGAGAAGTTGGTAGAGGCTAAGCCATGCAGAGTGTTATAAGTAGGATGTGTTAGTCTGGGTCCACCAAGAAGCAGAAGCCCAGACAGGGTCTTATTAGGGCGAATGGCTGTGTGAAAAAAAATAGGAAAGGGTCAAGGAAATCTGGGAGAACCTTCAGACCATGCAATAACTTGAGTGAAGCATCTTAGACTGATATTCAATCTAAGGAAATTTCGATAAAGGTTCAATAAAAGGATATCTGGCACCAAAGTCCACAGACAATGGAGTACTCTGTCTCCTAAATTAGGTCTGCCTTAGTATTGTTGGAGAGCTGGCCATGTGTAGTATGGCTTATGGAGGCAAGCAGAGATTGATTTCAAACATTAGCAGCTTTGAATGTTTCTGATTGCACCTCTGTGGTCACTTAACATGTTCTTCTGAGTTTATAATATCTTTAAATTGGTAGTTATGTCTACCAACAGGATGAGATTAAAGATATATTTTGACAAGTATAGCTTTTCTCTTAATGTTTGTAAGGATATCTTTTGATAAACAGACATTTTATATTTTGCTGTATTCAAATCTGTCAGTATTTTCCTTTTTATTCCTTTCTTTTGTTTACAATGTTTTATCTGTGTCTATACAGCTTATTTAACACTTTAGAGCATATGGACTTTAAACTGCCTGTGTTAAATTCCTGTCCCTCTAACTATATAACCTTGGATACTTTTCTTAATAAAAAATAATATTTATTGTAAAAGAACTGAAATCACAACAAACAGTCTCTCAATACCACAGTGCAATCAAATTAGAACTCAGGATTAAGAAACTCACTAAAAATCACACAACTACATGGAAATTGAACAACCTGCTCCTGAATGACTCATGGGTAAATAACAAAATTAAGGCAGAAATCAACAAGTTATTTGAAACCAATGAGAACAAATAGACAATGTACCAGAATCTCTGGGATGCAGCTAAAGCAGTGTTAAGAGGGAAATTTATAGCGCTAAATGCCCATATCAGAAAGCTAGAAAGATCTCAAATCAACACCCTAACATCACAATTAAAAGAACTAGAGAAGCAAGAGCAAACAAATCCAAAAGCTAGAAGAAGACAAGAAATAACTAAGATCAGAGTGGTACTGAGGCAGATAGAGACACACAAAACCCTTCAAAAAATCAATCCAGGTGCTGGGTTTTTGAAAAAATTAATAGAATAGATAGACTGCTAGCTAGATTAATAAAGAAGAAAAGAGAGATGAATCAAATAGACACAATAAAAAATGATAAAGGGGATGTAACCACTGACCCCACAGAAATACAAACTACCATCAGAGAATACTATAAACACCTCTATGAAAATAAACTAGAAAATCTAGAAGAAATGGATAAATTCCTGGACATGTACACCCTCCCAAGACTGGACACATACACCTTCCAAACCAGGAAGAAGTCAAATCCTTGAATAGACCAATAAAAGTTCTGAAATTGAGGCAGTAATAAATAGCCTACCAACCAAAAAAAAGCCCAGGACCAGACGAATTCACAGCCAAATTCTACCAGAGGTACAAAAAGAAGCCAGTACCATTCCTTCAGAAACTATTCTAAACAATCGAAAAGGAGGGACTCCTCCCTAACTCATTTTATGAGGCCAGAATTATCCTGGTACCAAAACCTGACAGAGACACAACAAAAAAAGAAAACTTCAGGCCAATATCCCTGATGAACATCGATGCGAAAATCCTCAGTAAAATACTGGCAAACTGAATACAGCAGTACATCAAAAAGCTTATCCAACATGATCAAATCAGTTTCATCCCTGGAAAGCAAGGCTCATTCAACATACTCAAATCAATAAATGTAATCCATCACATAAACAGAACCAATGACAAAAACCACATGATTATCTCAATAGATGCAGAAAAGGCCTTTGATAAAATCCAACATCCCTTCATGCTAAAAACTCTGAATAAACTATGTACTGATGGAGCGTGTCTCAAAATACTAAGAGCTATTTATGACAAACCCACAGTGAATACCATACTGAATGGACAAAAGCTGGAAGCATTCTTTTTGAAAACCATCACAAGATAAGGATGCCCTCTCTCACCACACCTACTCAACATAGTATTGGAAATTCTGGCCAGGAAAATCAGGCAAGAGAAAGAAATAAAGCATATTCAAATAGGAAGATAGGAAGTCAGATTGTCTCTGTTTGCAGAGGACATGATCCTAATCTTTAGAAAACCCCATTGTCTCAGCCCCAAAACTCCTTAAGCTAATAAGCAACTTCAGCAAAGTCTCAGGATACAAAATCAATGTGCAAAAATCACAGGTATTCCTGTATACCAACAACAGACAAGCAGAGAGCCAAATCATGAATGAACTCCCATTCACAATTGCTACAAAGAGAATAAAATACCTAGGAATACAGCTAACAAGAAACGTGAAGGACCTCTTCAAGGAGAAATACAAATCACTGCTCAAGAAAGTAAGAAAGGACACAAACAAATGGAAAAACATTCCATCCTCATGGATAGGAAGAATCAATATCATGGAAATGGCCATACTGCACAAAGTAATTTATAGCTTCAAAGCTATTCCCATCAAACTACCATTGACATTCTTCACAGAATTAGAAAAAAATACTTTAAAATTCATATGGAACACAAAAAGGGCTGGAATAGCCAAGACAATCCTAAGCAGAAAGAACAAAGCTGGAGGCATCATGCTACCCGACTTCAAACTATACTGCAAGGCTATAAGAACCAAAATAGCATGATACTGGTACAAAACCAGACATACAGACCAATGGAACAGAATAGAGAAATAAGACCACACACATCTACAACCATCTGATCTTCGACAAACGTGACAAAAGCAATGGGAAAAGGACTCTCTATTTAATAAATGGTCCTGGGAAAACTGGCTCGTCATATGCAAAAACTGAAACTGGACTCTTTCCTTACACCTTATACAAAAATTAACTCAAGATGAGTTCAAGACCTAAACATAAAACCCCAAACCACAAAAATTTTAGAAGAAAACCTAGGCAATACCATTCAGGATATAGGCATGAGCAAAGATTTTACGATGAAATTGTCAAAAGCAATTGCAACAAAAGCTAAAATTGACAAATGGGATCAAATTAAACTAAAGAGCTGCTGCACTGCAAAACAAACTACTATCAGAGCAAACAGGCAGCTTATAGAATAAGAGAAAAAATTTTCAATCTACCCATCTGACGAAGGTCTAGTATCCAGAATCTACAAGGAAATGAAACAAATTTACAAGAAAAAGACCACCCCATCAAAATGTGGGCAAAGGATATGAACAGACACTTCTCAACATAAGACATTTACATGGCCAACGATCATATGAAAAAAAGCTCAACTTCACCGATCATTAGAAAAATGCAAATCAAAACCACAATGAGATACCACCTCACACCAGTCAGAATGGCAATTATGAAAAAGTCAAGAAACAACAGATGCTGGGAGGCTGTGGAGAAATAGGAATGCTTTTACATTGTTGGTGGGAATGTAAACTAGTTCAACCATTGTGCAAGACAGTGTGGGGATTCCTCAAGGATCTAGAACCAGAAATACCATTTGACCCAGCAATTGCATTACTGGGTATATACCCAAAGGAATATAAATCATTCTATTATAAGGATACATGCACACACATGTTTATTGCAGCACTATTCACAATAGAAAGACACAGAACCAACCCAAATGCCCATCAATGATAGACTGGATAAAGAAAATGTGATATATATACACCATGGAATACTATGCAGCCACAAAAAGGAATGAGATCATGTCCTTTGCAGGGACACGGATGAAGCTGGAAGCCATCATCCTCAACATACTAACACAAGAACAGAAAACCAAATACCACATGTTCTCACTCATAAGGTGGGAATCGAACAATGAGAACACATGGACACAGGGAGGGGAACAACACATACTGGGGCCTGTCGGGGGCTGAGGGCAAGAGAAGGGGGAGCATCAGGGCAAATAACTAATGCATGTGGGGCTTAAAACCTAGGTGACAGGTTGATAGGTGCAGCAAACCACCATGGCACATGCGTACCTATGTAACAAACCTGCACGTTCTGCACATGTATCCTGGAACTTAAAGTAAAAAAATTAAATATATATATTTATTGAGCTCTTACAACATACTTAGCCTAAGTTTTATTTCTTTGATGTTGTTTCTGTTTTGTTTCTCTTTAATCTTCTTTTGCTTTTATCTGTGGTATATTTTTTCCATTCTTATGGAGTGAATGAAGGGCAATGGGTTATTTTCTATATGAACAAAGGGGAAAAAGGGCAATGGGTTATTTTCTATATGAAATTAGGGGAAAAAGTTTTTTAGTAAAGATAGTTATCACCTTACTTTTTAGAAAAGATAACTCTAGTATCAGTATAGAGGGAAGTCTTTATAAACAGGGCGATAATTGAGGACACTATAACAATAATCTAGGTAACAATGAAGGCTTCATCCAGGACAATTATTGTGGGAATAGAAAAGAAAGGATGGGTATAATATTGGAAAAGTTAGATTCAGAAGGATATATTTTTGAAGTACTACAAATAACTAAGCTTATTGGCTGAGGAAGAGAAGAACACCTTCATAGGCTTTCTCAGAGTTTTCTAAACTTTGTAACTTAAAAAATATATCATTCATTTATAGAAGAAATAAAGAGGTATAAGCAGAGTTCTGGCAGAGTAAGTAATAGTTATGATTTTAGATATTTTAAAATTGAGGGGACTGAAAGTAATCTAGGAAAAGATGTCTTGGGGAACTTTAACATTTAAATCTAAAGGCTGAGCACAGTGGTTCATGCCTGTACTTTGGGAGACTGAGAACTTTGGGAGGCTGAGGCAGGAGGGTCACTTGAGGCTAAGTGTTTGAGACCAGCCTGGGCAACATAGCAAGACCCCATCTCTACCAAAAAAAGTTAGCTAAGAATGGTAGCAAGTGCCTATAGTCTCAGCTACTCAGGAGGCTGAGGCAGGAGGATCACTTAAGCCCAGGAGATGGAGGCTGCAGTGAGCTATGCTCACACCACTGCACTCTAGCCTGGGCAATAGGGTGAGAACCTGTCTCAAAAAAATCTTTTAATAAAAATAAAATATTTTGTAAAAAATCTGAAGTTCAAGTGTTAGAGTGTAAAATGACACTTAGGAAAATACCAACATGTAAGTGATAGAGATGAGAGCTGAATTTATACGAGTAGATGATTTGAAAACAAGAGTGTATACGTGGAAAGGAGAGGAAAACCAATAATAGACCCCTACGGAAAAGCAACATGTTGAAAGATGAAGAGAGAAGACCAGAAAGAAACACAGTGAGAGAGAAAAAACATTATGTAGTATAGTGTGATGGAAGCCCTGGAAGAAGAAGTATTTTCAACAGCAGGGAAGCAATATTACTGTCAGGGACTTCAGACTTCACACTTCACTTTACTCTCATAAAGTAAAAATGAAAGGAGCTCACCCACTGGATCTGGAAAATTGAAAGTAATTTGAAAATCTTAGCAAGAATATTTTAAGAGTCCCACTGATAAGGACAAAAGGACATTTTCCTAAAATTCTTGCCCCAGGTCACAAGGGCTAGGGCTGATTTTTTTTGCAAATGAGCTAAGGCATTATCTAGCCATTATACTTCTATGTACTTCTGCATGTGGAGCCTGAAAAATCCCCATCAGCCACGACGGCTACTGGGAGTGCTGTTGTGTTCAGGCGATGACAGCATCAGCCATCACCCAGGATCATCTCATTCATCTTGAATCCTACAACCACTGTCCCTGCGGCATAGAAGATATTCATTGGTTCAACAAACATTTACTGAACATCAGCTCTATATCAAGCATTGGAAATACAAAGATAAATAAGACTTGGTTCCTCCATATGAGCTCCTGTTTGGCTAGTCAAAGAAACAGATGTGAGCACATTGGGGAACTGATTTTTCATTCTATAACAACATAGCCTATCAGGTAGGAAGCAAGGATATATTATTAAAAAGCCGTATATCTACTTATTTGATGAGCTTAAATCTTTTACAACTAGAGTGGTATCTTTTTTGCTTTTTGTAGTTGAATACAAATAGTTGAAATGTGCCCTTTCATGTCAAAAATACCTATATAATCAAAGTAATGTATTGAAAGACAGACATCTTCACTGCAAATTCAATACCTGACTCGGATCTTCTCTGTGATAGTTGGTAGATGCTAAATTATTATTAATTTTTGTCTATACAAAGCCAATAAAATAATTTTTATTCTGTTTCTATACAGAGAGCCAATAAAATAACTTAGGTGTAAATATTTGATTATTTATATTTAGTTTACAGCAACTATACCAAATATCTGACATGCACACTTGCAGTTGTTTTCTTCTGCACCTGTGGCTGACACTGCTAATTAAATATGACTCTCTCTAGTCATAGATGTGGACACACAATCCTTTTCAGCACAGTGTTCCAGGCAGCCATTACCAGTCAAATGACAATGGGACATGAAATATATTTGTCTTCCCTGATCTACATGGTGTTAAACATATATTACAACATAAATGGCCTAATCAATCAATCATTTTAAACAAAGACAAAGCCTATTAAATATATATCTCCCTACTACATATTTAGGGAGCTCCCAAATACAGCTAGAATTTATTGGTATTTTACTGTATATTAGATACTTTTTAAGTAGTTTCTTTATATTAACTCATTTATGTGTCATAATACTCTAAATTCTATGCCATTGTCAAACCCATTTCATAGGAAGAAAATTGAAGTGCAGAAAGACTGAGTAACCCCTGTGCCTCTCACATATCTACTAAGTAGGAGACTTGAGATTCCGTCTGGTTTCTGAGCCCATGCAATTAGCCAGAACTACAAACCGAATCCATGGAAAGATGTGCCTGAAAATTACTTTATTCAGAAAATTAAGGATAAATTAATTATAACATTGTAATTGGTGCTAAGACATTGTATATTTTTAGGAAGTGTTCTTGGAAGTTAAACCACAAGATAAAATAGGCAGGTGCATCTACTAGATTAATGTATACTTTTTGCTCATATGATAGGTTGTGCTGAAAGCACTAGATAAAAAAAGAGGAGGCATTGATGCTAGTCTTTGTGTTGCTGCTTACCTCTTCATGCCTCAGAAAAACAGTATTCATAGCATTTCAGGGAAACATATACATGTATCCATTGCTGGTATCATGGTCAACCAAAGTGATATTTTTGATACTGGTTTGGTAATAAATGTCTTTAAAATATTAATATTTCCTGATCCAGCAATCCAACTCTGAAAAAAATCCAAATAAATATTTCAATGTTTCCGTAAAAAATAAAGAACTTGTACACAGATACTTATACAGCAAGATTACTGTAGTAACGTAAAGTTGTAAACAATAATATGTCCCAAACTAAGGTGATGTGGAAATAACTACTGTAAATTTATTATTACCCTTTTCAGTATCATAGATTTAGGTGTTAATAATAGTATAAAATAACAGTTATAGTAACATAAGGTGCCAGGAGTAAAGAATAATTGGAATAATAAATTTAATGGGTTAATTGTAGATGAAATGAAAATTGTAATAGTGAACCAAAATGATTTTATGTCAATAAATCAATGAGGAATGAGAATCTTCCAAGTATTTATCAGTGCATACATAGATGGGAAATTGCCAGAGAATATAGCTGGTTTAAGTAGGATTTCATTAGCATTGCTTAACCAAGAAAATTCTTCCAGAAAGAATTACAAGTGATTGTTCTGATGCCAGAAATCCTAATAATGATAACTTTGACTTGCAGCCAAAGTAATATACTTAAATTAAGATGCCAGGAATTTCCCTCATGACCTATTATACTAGTTATTTAATGCTTCAGAATGGACAATGGACCTTGCAGAGTGACAAAGAGGGAAAGTCAAGTCACTTCAGGCAGAAGGGGTAATGTGTGTATCACAGTCCCATTATTGTGCATAAAATGTCTAGGAAAAAAATGAATTATTTAAGATATTCCATCAGAAGTTGTGACCAGAGTCTCTTAACTTTTGCAAATAAGAAATTAGGGCAATTTATTACTTTAATATATCCATTGAACATCCATTATGTGCTAAACACTCTATTAGGCTATTCCCAAGTGTTATCTTATTTAATCCTCATAATAACTTTACCCATGTATTCAACAAATAACCATAAGATAATTATTATTATTTTCCCATTATAGACAAGGAAAGTAATACTCTGAAACAATAGGCAACATACCAATGTAAGAGCAACTATATGCTAGAAGTATTTACAATCAG